>NC_000006.12:68064927-68367957 GCF_000001405.40 Homo sapiens
CTCATCTCAAGTATAAGTTTACATCTTAAGTCTTTTCCTAAGCACATATATTGCAAAAACTGCACACAAATACTGCCTAGAATTAAGAGTGAGAGTGAGTCAGGGAAGTGGTTGGGAAAAATAGGGTAGAAATGTGGGGGTGTGGAAGATTAAAATCAGCAGAAGCAATTCTTAAACATAACAAGCAAATAACTTGAATGGGAGAAGTTCTCCACACAAAGAGAGAAGACTTAAATTTTCAGAAGCAGGAGGGATACCAAGGATGAAGAATAAAAAGAAGCAAGAAACCAGTCCAGCAGGAGGCCACCAATGTCCTGTGAGTGAATATGACGGAGTGGCAGAGATAAAAGCTGCACTACAGTGAGTTGAAAGATAGATATGGAGAGCAAACAATTTTTAAAAGAAGTTTTGTATTGGAATCAGAATACAATGGGGTGGCTTTGTAGCCAAAATGGGAGGAAGGGACAAAGAAAATTATCTTTTCAAAAATGATGATAATATCCATTTCAGGCTGGGTGCAGTGGCTCACACCTGTAATCCCAGCACTTTGGGAGGCTGAGGCAGGCGGATCTCTTGAGGCCAGGAGTTTGAGACCAACCTGGCCAACATGGAGAAACCCCATCTCTACTGAAAATACAAAAATTAGCTGAACATGGTTGTTAATGCCTGTAATCCCAGCAACACAGGAAAGTGAGGCAGGAGAATCGCTTGAACCCGGGAGGCAGAGGTTGCAGTGAGCTGGGATCATGCCACTGCACTCCAGCCTGGGCTACAGAGCCAGACTCTGCCTCAAAAAAAAAAAAAAAAAAAAAAAAGATTTCATGGTATTTGGAATATTCAGAATTATACTTACCTTTATAAAATGCCATAAAATCTACTGTAACATATTTTACTCTGAGGTGAATTTACTTATCTTGCCCCTCAATCATGATTTCCATAAAACAGGGATTACATGGGTGCTTTAGTTAAAAGCATCAGGCCATGGACTATGAAAACATGCAGTTTAAATCAACCAAGACACCTAGGCAAATTAATCTCCCTGAGCAGTGATTTTTTTTCACTTATAAAATGGGGCTTCTAGTAATATACAGGATGCTAGATGAGAGGATATTTTGTCAATTGTACAAAACTTTCTTCTGAATACAGAGAGTATATAAACTTAGTCTGGAAGTTAAACTTCATCACTCCATTATAAAACATGTTAAAGTCATAATAATGATTATAATAGAAGTAGTGGCAGCAGGTACAAAATTTTGAGATACAAAATTATACAGACATTTTAGATATGTTATTTAATATAATGCTTTATTAATACACTAAGATGTTAATAAAACTCCACAGGCAGATTAGTACATTATCATGCTCAAAGCATAACTACCCATGAAATGACTTACTAAACCACCCTGGAACTGCATCTTTTGTAGATAAGTTTTAGCTCTCACCCTAACAAGTGAATATAGAGATAATAAGCTGTAATCACTAAAACTAATGCTGATAAATGGTCGAGGTATTGGTTAAAAAAATAATGTAAATAGGTAGGCTCATATACCTTCAAAGAAACTAGGTCAGACTGATGGTAATTCTTGTTTTTGAATTTACTATGATCCTACTAAGTTTAATGGATGTATAGTTCAAATAAGCACTTTAGGAGATTATTTTTCTCAGTTGTTTGTTTTACCAAAAAGACAGAATAAAATGTTAATCTCTGAAACTTTGTTACACTGACAAAAATTGACTTAGAACCTCTTTGAAGAAAAAGTTTTGGTGTTCTGTTACACAGTGGTGTGATTATAGCAAGTAATGATATACATCTCAAGATAGCTACAAGGTTCTAAACATCACCACAAACAATGATAAATATTTAAAGTGATGAATATAGGAATTACCTAAATTTGATCATTATGCCATGTATACATGCATTGAAATATCACATTGTACACCATAATTATGTACAATTATGTGTCAATTAATGTATAATTTAAAAAATTAAAAATGAAAACAACAGTTGATAGAAATGGTTCATCTGCAGGATTATGAATGACTGTATTCTTTATATTGGGGGATTTGCAAACATATTAATGTTTAATATTAGTAAGTAATAAAGAACATAGGCTTAAACATTGGACCACTTGGGCTTCTGTATCGGTTCTGCCAATTGCCAGCTGTATGATTTTTGGCCACATATGTGATCTTTCTTGCCTCAGAGTTCTCACTTGTGTGAAAAAAAAAATACGTTTTTTTGTTTTTTTTTAATACCATACAGTCTTTTTATTTGAAAAGTTCCTGCATGATAGGAAATGTTCAATAATAGCAGTCTCTCATTTCTTACCATATGATGTGAGGAAGTAGAAAACACTGTGTTAAAAATAAGCTTATACTTGAAAATTAAATGAAAAGTGGGATTCTGTATTTGAATCTGGAACAGAAAAAAATAACATTAATTTTAAAAAACCTTGGTAAAATCTAAATAAAGCCTGTAGTTTAGTTAGTGGCATTTGTCAATATTAATTTATTAGCATTAATAATTTTACTGTGGTTATACAAGATGTTAACATGAGAGAAAGCTGGTGGAAGTGCATACAGGAGCTTTCTGTACTATTTTTTGCAATTTTTAAGTAAATCTAACTTTTTTTTTTAAAAGTGCTTAAATCTTATAGAAAAAATATGTAATCATATAGAAATATTCTCAGAATATAAATTTTTATGTGAAGGATGCAGGTTACAGAAAATGTACAGAATGATGTTGCATTTGTTTAAAAACTAAATAAATGGATGAAAAGGCAAGGAATAAATAGAGCAGTAGGTTCATATTGGTTCTTTCTATGATGAGAATATGAGTGATTTTAAAAAATGTCTTTGCCTATATTTTCTAAGTTTTCTGCAACAATATTTTTATTTTATAATAAGAAAAGTTTGGAGACCAAAAGTCATTTGTTTTAACATATAAGATATACCTTTCTTAAATTCAGTACAATCATTTGGTTTTCATTTTGTTCCAAATAACATTAAATTAGTTTATATGCATAATATTTTCAGCTAAAACTAAAAATTACTGAGAACAATTTTATCATTTTATTTCAACTCATGTATTTCTATTTGTAGAAGTAAATCAGTACTTCAAATGACAAAACATTAGAAAACATATGGATGTCTAAAATATGTATAAGATTCAGTGTTCATTAAGATCAAATAAATACAAATAGATTGAGACTCAAGTAATCATTGAAAATATTGAACATAAATGTATTTGTCTAGTTAATTTTTCTCTAACGTTGGAAGTCTAAATCAGGCCATTCTTTAGAATAATATGCTTTAAGACAAACACTGATAAACAATATTTTCATGTTACATATTTCCCTGGAAGAGAAAATTCAAAAGTGAGTAAAACTTGATCCTAATCCACAAATAATTATACTAATATGGGTTTGTATGCAGGCAAATAGTTACAAAAGAGGCAAGAAATGAGAGGGCATCATTCATTCTTTCAGTGTTGTGGTGAAGTCAGAAAATTTCATAAAGGAGGTACCAACTGAGTTGTTTTAAAGTGTAGATCACAATTCTTAAGAAAGACAGAGAATACCATTCTAAGCAGAGAGACGAACACCCAGGAGTTCACAAACAAAATGGGGCATTCTCACTTATGAGTTCTTTAGGCTACAAGTAGCAGAAAGCCTCACTGATAGGAGTTTAAATTATAAGGTTATTTCTTGTTTGAGTACAAGAAATATAATTAGTTATAAAGTTGGTTCAGCAACTCCACAATGTTAGGGTGTTGGAATAGTATATTTCCTACTACTTTAGTATTTCCTGTATCACTGCAAGATGACAACCACACTCCCAGGCATCATATTCAGTTCTTTCTGTGAGCCTTACTTCATCTACCAGAAAGAAAGCATCTTTCACAGAAGCCTTATTAAAGTTCCAGTGAAATTGTCAACAAACAGATCTGGATGATATTGTTCTTTTTAGATTCAAAGGATTCTAGGAATAAGATCCAACCTCCTTAATCAGTGATAGTCAGAGAAAGGAAGAATACATTTGTTCAGACTATATATGAGGTTTGGCCAACAGTGCATTAAGGAGAATTAAATACATCAGTACTGCTGGACAGTAAACAATGGATAGGAGAGTATCAGAGGCTGATTCTGGGAAGATCAGCAAGTTTCAGAGTATAAAAGAGAATACTGGGCTTTGCCAGAGTGGTCAGGGACAGCCAATGAGGAATTTAAAACATAAGCATCATATTTAAATTTCCAGAGGCACACGATGGTGTTGGTGTAAAGAAAGAAAAGTAGGTCAGAGAAATCAAAGTAGTTATAAATAAATAGAGATGTATTTCATGTTCATGGTTAGGAAGACTTAATATTTTTTAAATGTCCTCCCAACTTATTCTAAAGATTAAATGAAATGCCAGTCACAATCTCAGCATGTTACTTGGATACTGATAAAGTGAATCTGAAGTTTATACAGAAGGCAAAAGCCTCAAAATAACCAACACAATATTGAAGAACAAAGTAAAAAAAAAAATTGATGCTGATTCTAAGCCTTAATATAAAGCTACAGTCTCTAGAGAGTCAGTGTAGTAGTGGTTAAATAATAGATAAACAAGTGAATGAGACAGAATAGAGAGCCCAGAATTATATCTACACAGGTACAGTCAACTGCATTTTGACAAGCAAAGGCAATCCAATAGAGAATGAATGTTTTCAGCAAGTGGTCCTGGAGAGACATCCACATGCCACAAAAATGAATCTAGACACTAACTTTATGCCTTTCATAATAATTACTTTAAAATGAGTTATAGAAGTAAAATATAAAACTATTCAATTCTTAGAAGATAACATAGTTTTGGCAATGTTGAATTTGTAATGAATTTTTAGATACAACACCAAAGTCTGATTCATCAAATAAAATTGGTAAATTATACTTTATTAAAATTAAAAGGTCCTATTCTGTGAAAGACATTGTTAAGAGAATTAAAAGTCTAGCCACAAACTGGGAGAAATTATTTGCAAAACACATATCTGATAAAGGGGTTGCTTGTTTGCAAAATATGCAAAGAACTCTTAAAACCCAACAATAAGAAAAAGCCAATTAAAAAGTAAGCCAAAGGTCTTAAAAGACACCTCACTGTCAGGCCTCTGAGCCCAAGCTAATCCATCATATCTCCTGTGATCTGCACCTATACATCCAGATGGCCTAAAGTAATGGAAGAATCACAAAAGAAGTGATAATGGCCTGTTCCTGCCTTAACTGATGACATTACCTTGTGAAATTCCTTCTCCTGGCTCATCCTGGCTCAAAAGCTCCCCCACTGAGCACCTTGTGACCCCCACCCCTGCCAGTCAGAGAACAACCCCCTTTGACTGTAATTTTCCACTACCTACCCAAATCCTATAAAATGGCCCCAACCCCTATCTCCCTTCGCTGACTCTCTTTTTGGACGCAGCCTGCCTGCACCCAGGTGATTAAAAAGCTTTATTGCTCACACAAAGCCTGTTTGGTGGTGTCTTCACACGGACACACGTGAAACTCACCAAATAACATTTGCAAATGGCCAGAGGATATGACAAGATGTTCAACATCATATGTCATTAGGGAACTGTAGATTGAAAGAGCAACGAGATACCAATGAGAATGGCTAGTATCCAAAGTGCTGACAACACCAGATGCTGGTGAGCATGTGGAATAACAGAAACTTTCATTCAATTTTGCTTGGAATGCAAAATAGAACAGTCACTTTGGAAGACAGCTGGGGCATTTCTTATAAAAGTAAATGTATTCTTACTACACAATTCAATAATCATGCTTCTAGATATTTACTCATCTGAATTAAAAACTATTTGACAAAAAATCCACATATAAATGTTTACAGAAGTTTTCTTCATAATTGACAAAACTTGGAAGAAATCAAAATGTATGTACCAAAAGCAAACTGTAGTACATATGTAGACTAGAATATTATTCACTGATAAAAATATTGAGTTGTTAATCCATAATAATAGAGAAATTTTAAGTGCATATTGTTAAGTGAAATAAGCCAATCTGAAAGGCTACGTACCATATGAATCCAACTATATGACATTCTGGAAGTCAAAATTGTGGAGATAGTACAAAAATCAGTGGTTGTCAGAATCTGGGGATATGGGAAGAGAGATAGATGAAGAGATGAACCTCAAAGGATTTTTAGGTCAGTGAAACTATTCTTTATAACACTGTCATAATGGATATATGACATTATACCTTTGTCAAAGCCCTAAAACAGTTTGACACAAGAATGATCCGTAAATTATGAACTTTAGTTAATAATAATCAATATCAATATTGGTTCATCAATATCAATATTGGTTCATCAGTTGCATCAAATGTATCATGTTAATGTGAGATGTTACTAATAGAGGAAACTGAGGAGCAGACAGAAGTATTTGGGAACTCTCTGTACTCTGCTTAAGTTTTCAGTGAAGCTAAAATTCGAAAAATAGTGTGTATTGATTGAGAAAATAAAATTTTGGCAAGTTTGAAAGCCACGGGAGCTCTTGAGATTAGTAATGCAAATAACAAAAAATAAAGTTCAAACAAGGACAAAGGTAATAAAATTAGGGAAAGGGGAATGATTTGGGTGATGTTAAAGGTCTAGCATCAATGTCACTTAGGGTTCAATGGTATCATGGAGATAGGAGGCAATGAGGGAAAAAGTAGAACCTGGAATAACTTTTATAATCCTGACTTGCATGCCTGGATGACCGTGATCATGGTAGGGAAGAGAAGATTATGACAGGGAACAAATGAAGCTTTCATCTTTGAACTTGTTGAGATTTACATGATAGTGGCAAATAATAAAGAAGACAGCCTGCAAAAATAACATGACTTAAAAACAAAAAGATGCTCTCTCTTGCCAGAGATTTGAGGGATTCTGTATGTTTGAAATAGGCTTTCCCTCTTTACTAACCTTCTATGCTATGTAAGCCAGTTTTAGAATGGAATGAGAAGAGAAAATTTTAAAATCTGCTTACTCATGCTAATGAGAGCAAAAGTAAAGGGGATTGATATTTTAATGACTAAAAATAGTCAGTCATTGTGAAAGAGCAAGTACTAAGTATTATTTCCAAATTATTAGGTAATCTGATTTTGCAAAACACCAGTAGTGGAGGGGGACAAACTTAGATATGAAAGCACTACAAATCTCAGCATGAGATGCTTCAATTGTGTCTCTGAAAATATTTTGATTTTTTTAGTGTAGGTGCCACTGCATATTATTGCCTCTAACTAAATACTTACAACACTCTTTAAAAATTTAGCTGGTAGTTTAGATAGCACATCATAACAAGTGTAGCAAAGCAGGAGAATATTAAATTGATATGCAAATTGATTCATGAATATGAATAGTATCTGAGGTTACAGATACTGTCATAACATCATAAAGCTAAAAATAGGATTTTATTATAAAGATTCAAGGTCTGTAGATAAAAGTAAAAGTGGCAAACTATTCATAGAATTCTAGTTTCATGAAAGACAGACGGTATTCTTCTATTCAATTTTTTTAGTGAAAAAATGACTATTCTAAGTACTGATTAAGTTGTAACAGGTAGAATATAAAAACTTACTTGGCTAAATAAATGGTAATAATTTTTAATATTTTAATAACAATATATGTTTTTCACAAGTACCACCATATAAATGTGTCATGGGCTACTTGATTCTTGCAGAGTGAGTAGGGCAGGTACTAATATCTCTATTTATAAAGGAGTAAACTGTGGCTCAGGAAGCTTAAGAAAGTTGGTACAATCAGAACCTATACTGGGTTCCAAGTCTACACAGAACACTTTATGTCATATGAGTCTCTTAGGGTCTTCTAAAGATTCAGTTTGTGTTTGTCATTTTTATTTGTGTTATTTATTTTTGTTCTACTCTACTCTGCAAGTCTCATGGATCATAAGAAAGATCCCTTTGAATCCCCAAAGTTGCTTATCCTGAAGGTAGTATATAGGCATCCGTGAAGCATTGAAGAGAGTTACCCTAAGGAGAAGTGAGTAGATACTCCATAATCTGGAAAAGTAAGATGCAGTGGTACAGTTGTATGAAGAATATGTAAAGAGAAAGCTATAATAGTTTACAGTAAGTGCTGTGAGAGAAAGTGCTAGTTATGGGTCAGCATTCTATAGCTGTTTTACATAAACAGGATCACACACATAAGTAAACATCTTTGTAATAAAATGACTAGTGGCATTAACAAACGACTTCCCTAGACCTTCACAAAAACAGAATTTATAACCAATGAAGGAGCAAAGAACCATACCATTACCTGACCCATCTGAGAAACTTTCATTTATGATTATGTGTGATTCAAATTTAAATATATATGAATGGTTCTACAAATGTCATCCAGCTAATCTCACCATTAACCCCATTGTGGTTTAATTTAGATAAGCTCCTATTGTTCTGTAATTTTGCCTTTTCTCATTTCATTCTATGTATTTCCCCTGGGTAGTTCCATACATTATCTTTATTGGAAATCTTACCTATATGCTGAAAATCATAAATCTCTTCTCTAAAATTGAGACAGAAAACACTGCTGCCCTTAGGATCTATTACATCACTCTACACACAAAACAGATTATCCAGCTTTCCTTTGTGTCCTTCTACCATTTCCAATTGGTCATTATTTTCAACACATTTTTCATAACAGTAACAGGGTAGTACATTTCTTAAAGGAAAAGTGTTGAGGCCCTGCACTACTCAAAACCAGTTTCCATTTCCCAAAGCCTACAGGAAAAAGAAATCTAAATTCTTACAGGACAGTCAAGGTTTTTCATCATTTGGCTTTGCCCTCCGTCTGTTTCCAGCCACTAAACTAGACCCTTAGTCCGTCTTCTGCCACTGTTCTGAACTTCCTGCAATTCAGGAGTAAATAAGCTTTTTATTTTCTGTCTCCTGGCAGGGTTTGTCTTCCCCACTTCACAGTTTTCTGCCTCTAATAGAAATGCCCTTTTATCCCTTGCTCACCAAGAAAATTTCTATTCTTGAGTCTCAGTGCAAATGTCACTTTCAATGGAAAGCCTTTTTTTCTCCTTTTTTTCTGCTGTAACTGTTCTTTGTATCTATTATATCATGTTTCAAATAATATTATTTTTATTTGTTATGTGTGCAAACGTACCTGGTTTCATCTACATGGTCTCACTGAAAATAATAACTAAAATAGAGCTGCACTCCTTAAGTTCACAGTGTATTGATGCAGCTGCTTTAATTAGAAGACGTTTTAAATCGAAATGAAATACAAATTATTGAATATCCAACTTTTGCCAACATTGGCAAAATATCCACAAAATGGCAGTAGAATGCCACTCTAGCATCTCTTCTCATCCTGGTGTCTATAGGGAAAATGGTCAGATGCATAAAAATGGCTAAGTTAAACCACTTATGTCAAAATGGCATGCTGGAAAAAAAAAACTGCATGACTAAGGTATTGAGAATATTTTTAGATAAGAAAGGTCAGACACATTAGATCCTACATAACTATACCTATGTAACTATGAAGATAAATGTATATGCAATATATATATATATATATCAAATATATACAGCCACCATCTCTGAAGTCAAGTCGCCTCTCCCTGACATCCAGCCACTTCTCTCTTCTGCCAACTGAATCTGAGGTCTTTATAGGCATAGGATGGGTGGCATGGTGGGCCATAGGTAGTTCTGGAAAAGGCAACATTCAATTGTTAAAAAGACATCATTCAGAAAGAACCAGTCGGGATAGAGTGGGCATGCAGACAGAAGTTCTCACTTTGGGCCGTGTGTTTCAGGCTTTTCAGCTTGAAGGTGGGGTATTGCCAATCCATTAATCCTATAGACCAATGTTTCTAAAATTTTTAAAAAATTATTAGTCTCCTGAGCAGGCTTGTTAGACATTTTATCTTAATTCCTCCCAGGAAATTTTAATACTACAGCTGTACTGTATATCTATTTATACAATTTATGTATATCTGTGCTTTACACATAAGAATAACGTATTCTTACTTCCCTGAGGAAATGGTATTGCCTGCATTGAGAAAGCATGTAGTAGAAAAGGGTCGGAAAGAATATTCAGTTTATAATTTTGCCTAACCATAGACACGATGTGAATTTTTCCACTCATTTCCTTTAGCATAATATGACAAACTGAAATTTTGTGAAATGTGACTAAGATTGGTGTACTTCAGAGTAACCATCAGTTACCAGAGTCCTCTCATGTTCCCTGCTAGCTCTAGCAAAGTTTCCCTTTAGAATATTTCTGTGCTGCACTTCTAAGCAAGCTGGAACTTCTCAGGAAGATATGGGCCAAGCTGGTAATCAGCTTTTCTGCTAAACTTGAAAGGAGGGCCTGCTTTCTCAACATGTATATTCTAGGGGCATTAGAATATTAATGGTGCTCCTTCAGTTAATGGTGCCTAGATATTTATGTGTCTTTTGGTAGAAAGTTGGGGGCAATATAGGATGAACATCCATAAAAAAAGCAATAAAGAAAAGACATCTATACAAAAGTTTTAGAGTATGTACACAGACACAGGAGGACTGGATAGTCCCTTAAATGCTAAACTCTTGAAGGTGTTCCCACAGTTATAGGAGTCTAAATCCATTCTCCTTACTGGCACACAAACAAAAACAAACAATTTCACATCAGTTGTGTGATACAATGAGCCTGTAATTCACTCAATAACACATATTTTTTGTGTAATGCTTTAGAGATTGAAAGCCTACTGTATCACACAAGATATGATTTTGTAAATGTTGAAAACAATAAGACTAAGGGTTTTCAAGTTCAAGGCAGGTTCAAAACATTTCTCCATCCAGGGAATTTCTTTTTGATCACAAACAGAGATTTGATACCTCATCGCCAGAATCTCAGTTTATTTTATTTTATCCTATGTAGACTATAGTGAAATTTATCCTAGGTAGATTTGAATGCTAATGGTGATTTTCTTATTAACTTACACACTAGTCACAGAACTCTCACAGGCAATTTTCCCTCCAGATCATGCTGTGTATGCATAACTGTAGGCAAGTCACATAACCTGGAGAAATTTATTTTTTTGTGCTTGTGAACTGGAGACCATCTTGCCTGCTGTATAAAAACTGTTCCATACCTTTTAGTTCAAATAGCTCTTCAAACGTTTCCTATTTTTGTGGGTCACCTAGGCAACTTTAGCAATTTTGTGGCAATGGTAATGGAGCATAAGAATAAAAATAACCAACTATTTGAAATGCTAATGCTACTAATACCTTCTAGCTGGGGAGAGGACAGGAAGGGCAAAATCTAAAATAGGATAGTTAGGACATCAGCAGTTCAGATCTGTGATTACACAAAAAACACTTTGGTCTTATGTTTTTCATGTGAGACATAACGTTTACTGAATCAGAATTATATCCCAAGAATGATACTGAGAGAAAGGACTCTTAAAACTAAGTTTCAAACCTCTTAAAGAGAATACCTTTATTACTTGAGAAAAAAGAATACCATGGCTGGCCCGCAAGTGTGGTAGGAAATTCCCCTTCATAGTCAGTAGCCTTTTGCAGTCAAAGTATACTTCATCACAAGGAAGAATCCTTGGAGAACATTACTCCCCATATTTCTAATGGATGGAGTCATCAACAGTGACATATTTTCAGGATGCTACTCAATCTTGGGTGGAAGCTACAACATGTGAGTGAGAAGTTGCTGAAACGGCAATTGTCAGAGTAACCTTTCTAGTGAGCACAAAGCCTGGAAGTGATTCTTTAAATACTTTAACTGATGTCTGAAGAAGAATAAGTTTATGTATTGAAGTTGAATATCTTGCCAGAGCATACCTGGGCACAGGATCACTGGATTCTAAAAAAAATGTGATCAAATACCAGTTGGCTGTCAGGCTGGGGCTATTTTAAGTGGACATGCCATTCAAAAATTAACCAAGAATGTTTTTCCCAACGTAAAAAGAAGGTGATCATGACCTGGCAGGGCGTTGGTGTGATGCCTGCCATAGTTGTAGCAGCTAATCTAGATGAGTACAGATCACAGTTGATGAAAGCAATAGCAACAACTTTACAGGCCTTTGGGCAATGTCATAGTAGTGCTATTCTTTGAAAACTTAAGAGCCTACTACTAAAGAGATGGAACCTTCATATCAAATATAGGGCTCACAGCATATGTACTTATATGGTGTGATTTTGAAAGTCTAGCTTGTAAGCAGATAGATTGTGATAGGAAGCAGTCTTTCAACTCTAAGCCTTAGAGCTTGGAAAACTAGGAAATCCATGGAAAAGAGCAGAAAGCCAATGAATGAGCTTTTCCCAGGACACACCAGAATAAGCTGTCCTGTACATACATAAATACAAAACTGTCCTGTCCCTTTCCATTCCCCAAATGAAGGTGGATACAAAAATAGAAGAGACATAGATAATGGGTTACTGCAGATCACAGTGATCAAAACATTTTCTTAAAATTTTCAGAGCCACTTTCTATTGCAGATTGTACATGCAACAGGTCTATGAGTTTTTAGCCTAGAACATGTTCTTATCTAAATTGCATGGTTATTAGAATGAAATTTCCTTAAAGGCTTAAGTTGACAAATGATGCTGTAGAAATTTTTGAATTATATTTTATAAATCTTGGATGCATGGAAGAACATTTGGACCTAAAATAAAATATTTTTGGCTTTTAAAAAATTAGTCAGGCTGGGTGCGATGGCTCACCACTGTAATCGCAGCACTTGGGGAGGCTGAGGCGGGCAGATCATTTGTTGTCAGGAGTTCGACACGAGCCTGACCAACATGGTGAAACCCCATCTCTACTAAAAATAAAAAATTAAATTAAATTAACCAGGTGTGGTGGTGTGCGCCTGTAATATTAGCTGTTCAGGAGGCTGAGGCTAATATTATTAATAATTAACTATTATTAACTAGTACTATTAATAACCATTATTAACTATTAATTAATATAATATTAATTAATTATTAACTATTAATTTCCGTGTGTTTTCTTCTTACAAATTTTTCCTTTGTGTTTTTATTTTCAAATAATTGTGATCTCACTGGAATTACATGTTTTTATCATTTGTTAATAAAAATTCATTGACCCTGGAATGAAGGTGATATGAAAAGAATCTTGAAGACAAATGTTTCCCACAGTTGGTCTTCTTCAGGTTAAAAAAAAAGAAAAAGATTTAGCTTTTTTGATAAAATCTAAAAGATGCAGAAAGCAATTCTTATTTTCCCTGGTGATAAAAATGCTCAATTTGTTGCCTTATGTAGCTCTGCTTTCATGATGAATACAGGAAAAAAGCTAGGAAAGAAAGAGGAAATAGGAGAAGAAATGTCTGATAATTCTCTCAACATAGTAATTTAGATGTATCAGTTGTTTAGCTATTACTATTTAGTAAGTGCTGGGTTAGACAAGTACTGGTTACTTTTGTGAAAGCTTATATGTACATCAATTGCAGCTTGAAAAAGATCTAAAGGATGTGACTTGAAAAAATATATTTCCAGGATCTCAAAAGAGTAACATTTCAAAGAAGCAGTTAATTTGATCTCCCAAATTTACCTGAAAACACATAAATAACTCGATTTCTCATTTGAGTAAAGGAATACTAGTCCTTTTAAACCAAAGCTTTCCCTTTTGATTTATTTTTTCTTTAATGAGAGTTTATCATTAAATAATTTTGTAGTGTCTGATAATATATTTGTTTCATTAATATTTATTTTAAAAATATTTTGCTTAATTTCCCCTTGACTCTATACCCCTGTTAATCTATCATTTATGTATTTATTCTCATTTACATCAAAACTTCTTAGAATAATTGTCTATACTTATCTCTCTTCTGCCCTGTCCATTCTCTGCTTAAATTAACTCTGCTTAAACAAGAAGGATTCTCTGCTTAAACAAGTAGGATTTAGTCTCCACCACTTGAAAGAAATTCTTCCTCCCCAGGCAAGGTCACCATTGGTCCTAATAACATTGCCAAAGCCAGTAGTCAATCCGCTACACTTACCTGTCCCATATTGGATAATTAACTCCTTTTAGAGAACTTCCTCCTCTATGGTTTCAGTATTATAAGTTTGATTTTTTCTCCCACCTTTAGGCTACTTCTCAGGCTTCTTGGCTGTGTACACCCCCTCAGGGGACTTCAAGTATGTGAGTGTCCTTCCTCCCTCTCAGTGATTGCTTTTCTAGTTATATTCCCTTAGGTGATTCCATTCAAACCAATATCCCTATCACTATGATGATGACATGAAGTCATTATCTCCAAATCTTGCCTCTTTCAGGCCTTCCATGTCTACGCTGGGTATCCAATACGTTTCTTAAACTTAAGGTGGTAAAACATAATTTATTTATCTATCCCTATATCCCAATCTGTTCCTTACCAAAGTTTCTCCCTTTCAATTAGTGGTGGCACTCTTCAACAGATATGCTCAGGCCAAATTCATGGAATTATTTTTTATTTCTTCCTTTTCATCAAATGCCATAAACTCTCTCTCAAATATATATTTCTCCTATGACTAACTTTCATCAGGATTTGTGCAACAATTTTTATAGATGCTGTGCTTTATACCAGGAGTTTCTTAGCTGGCCTCACTCTTCTGTTTCCTTTGCTTCACAATCTGGTTTTTTTTTTTTTTTTTTTTTGAGATGGAGTCTCGCTCTGTCACCCAGGCTAGATTGCAGTGGTGCGATCTCGGCTCACTGCAAGCTACGCCTCCTGGGTGCACGCCATTCTCCCTCCTCAGCCTTCCTAGCAGCTGGGACTACAGGTGCCCGCTGCCACGCCCTGCTAATTTTTTTTTTTTTTTTTTTTTTTAAGACAGTGTCCTCACTCTGTTGCCCCAGCTAGAGTGCAGTGGCGTGATCTAGGCTCACTGCAACATCCGCCTCCCGGGTTCAAGCAATTCTCCTGCCTCAACCTCCTGAGTAGCTGGGATTACAGGCACGCGCCACCACGCCGGGCTAATTTTTTTTTTGTATTTATAGTAGAGATGGGGTTTCTCCATATTGGCCAGGCTGGTCTCGAGCTCCTGACCTCGTGATCTGCCCACCTCGGCCTCCCAAAGTGCTGGGATTACAGGCGTGAGCCACCGCGCCTGGCCCACAATCTGTTCTTTGTTCTTTCTTTAACTTCTGATTGGAGAACTCTTTCCAGTTCTTCACCTGACAGTTGTTTTATCATAATGCAATGCTCTACTATAATGTTTAATTTACTGTGAGACAGTGAGACACATTGACGGACTCCTCTCATTCTACCTTCAAGCTATTATCCTTTTCTCATTCCCAAAGCCATATTAGCATATATACATATATTAGCATATATACATATATTAGCATATATACATATATTAGCACATATACATATATTTGCATATATTAGCATATATACACATATATTAGCGTATATATAATTTATTGACTGAGTAAACTTAGTGAACCTAAAATTTTTAGGTCACACAATCATTATTGACTCCTGCAAAGCCCTTTCTTAATTTATGTTTACATCCATTACTTTCTCCCTGCAATATGTAACCGTCTATATCTATATATCTATCTATAAAGATAGATATCGTTTCTTAAACTTAAGGTGGCAAAACAGAATTATAAGCTTGATTTTTTTTCTACCTTATGGCTACTTCTCAGGCTTTAGATATAGATGGAGATCTTTTCAGTGTGTTCTTACAAAATCTATATTGTCCTTTCATATAAATGAAACATTTCATATAAATGTTCTTCAAATTTACAAAAATGGAATTGTGTTATGTATGTACTAATTTTTCTGCTTTAATCACTAAAGACCATATGTTAAAGATCCATTCCTGTTGTATGTTTATCCTGTCTGTTGCATATACTTCTTATATAATACTCTAGAAAGTATATATTTCAAATGTTACCTAATCAATAATCCTCCAGTGACCCACCACTACAATCAATGCCACCATGAATATCTTACATGTCCTCATATAAAACAATGGAAGAATCTCCCTGTAATACTCACCCAAAAATATAATTGCTGTGTAGTAGAATATGTGTATGTATAACTTAAGGAAGAAGTATTACATTGCTTTCTAGGAGACCTGTACCACACTACATTATCAACAGCAGTGCTTGAGGAACACCATATCTCCACATCGTCTTCACAGTTGGCTTTAAAGAACATCCTAATTTTTGTCATTCTAACAAGTATCAAGTAATACGCATTGTTCAAAAAGGTGTAGTCTAATTAAAATCATTTTGACTACATTCTCTCATGTTTGCCAGCTTTGAGGAATTTTCCTTCTCTATGTTGTCTGTTCTAACACTTTTGCTGTTTTCCTATTGTTTTAAAAATTATTTTTATACTCGATATTAATTTTATGTCTAGACATTAATTTCAGGCATTGTATATATATTTTAATATTTTTATCTTTAAATTAATGGTGTCCATGGTATTTTTTATTGATAGAAATTCTTACTTTTTAAGTTAAGCACATGCATACTTTTTTTCTTAGGGGTTGAGCTTTGGAATTTCTTTAAGAATCCATATTGCCTTATAGATAAAATAAAAATATCATTTTTTGTCTTGTTTTTGTTTAGTTAACATTATAGTTTTACAATTTATATTTCATTTTATTTTATCTTTTTATATGGTGTTAGATAGGAAAACTTTTTTACATTTCTCCATTTAATGTGCCAGGTTTCTAACACTTTTGCTAAATAATCTACCTCTTCCCTTTTGATTTGTGGTGTTACCATTACTTATATTAAATTTGTATATATACATAGAGAAATCTCTCTTCCAACATATCATTTGGCTTTGCTTGCCCCAATACCACACTGTGCTTTCTTTTTTTTTTCTACAAATCTTTTAAATATTTTGTTCTTTCAATTTCCTGCTACTCTCTTACAAAGTTAACCTTTCTATTCACATTTCTCTTCTGCCATTTACATTTTAGATTCCATTGTCAAGTTTCTAAAAACGTACATTAAGAATATTGGAACTTCATTGAATAGGTATATAAATTTGAGAATAATTAACATCATTAGAATGCTAATGTCACATTCAAGGGCATCAACTGTCTTCTCATAATTCAGCTTATCTTCTATTACCTTTATCATGTTTTATATTTTCTTCCATAGATGTTTTATGTATTTTTAATTAGCTCATAAATAGTTTTTTAGTTTTTGTTGTAAATTGCTTATGTTAAATTATAGATTTAATGCTATTTGTTGTTTCTAAGCTGTAGGCAGCTGCCAGGTCAGCTCCATACTCTATCACAGATTTAGCAAGAAGAAAGAAGCCTAAATGGATTTAGACAATTTATTACTCATGACACAGCAGACCACATGTGCTCCATATTCCCATTGGTTTCACTTTCTCTCCTATCTACTGGGCCAAGGTAGAGAGGACTCATGTGGATGATAAACACATGATGGATCAGTGACACAGCTGAGGAATACTAAGCTTAGGACTCCTTCAAATCTTATAGGGATGCTCTGGTAGGCACACACATTCTCCCCTCCAAGGAGATGTATTATCTTATTACCTTGGAAAGTAAGCAAATCTCATCCTGGGAGGAAAAGGAAGACTTTAGCTTTAAATTTCTGGAATGTCTTGTACAAAAAATCTTAAATTCTGTCATTTCAGCACTTTGGGAGGCCAAAGCAAGAGGATTGCTCGAGCCCAGGAGTTTGAGACCAGACTGGACAACATAGTAAACCTCATCCCTACAAAAAAAAAAAAAAAGTAAAAAACGAAGCTGAAGGATCTTTTGAGCCCGGGAGGTCGAGATTGCAATGAGCCGTGATCATGCCATTACACTTACACCTGGGTGGCAGAGTGAGACCCTGCCTCAAAAAAATAAATAAATAAAAAATAAATCTTAAATTGACTATAAATGCTTTTGCTTAGAAGACCTAGATTGTCTAGAAACATAAGAGATCTACAAAGAACTATATCCAAATATTTAGTTATTTCTGATAGGGTTCCATTTCTCATTTTCAGAGAAAGCTGCCAGGATATGATCAGTGTTCCTAACAGTTCTTGCTGATTAGAAGAACTTCATCAGGAGTTAGTATTCAACACTCTACTGTACTGTAATATAATCTTTTTCTGCCTCTACTGCCCCATGCATGCATTATAGATGGGATTCACAAAAACACACAGAGAACAAATATTTGATTCCCCGAAGACAGTAATTTCAAATTCAACTTAGAACAAATATATTTTTCTCCAAAAGTCTAATCTATGATTTTATGTGGTTCACTTTATCAATTGATCATTCTAATTTTCTTGCCAACCTCTGGCATTCTGAGAAGTTCACCTTCCATTCACATATAAGAAGATGTCCTCATGTGTTTATAGTGTGGCTGTGAGTCATTGGGTGGCACCAACTCTTTGTGCCATTTCATTTATCTATTTTAAAGCAAACTTTCATCTGATTAGATCTACTTAATTTTGTTATAAATAGTCCTTTCATCCTATTGCTGTTTATAGAGTATCCTTCAGTGTATAAAAATAAAGGCAAATATAGCTATAATGTATTTTAGAAATACTCTACTATTACCTTTTCGCTTAACATATTTTTATACAATTATTATCTGGAACAAAGTTTCTCAAGCTTTGGTCGACATTAGTATCATCTATGAATTTTTTTTCTTGTATTTGCAATAAATAGAGATGTTCATATTTACAGAATCAAAATAAAAAACAGTGGAATATATACATGTATACATATATTTTAAATCCTTAAAAGTATTGCTGATAGGCATGATAGTTTGAGAGCAAATAGCTTGCATGTAGAAAATTTTTAAATAATAAATGAAAACTTGTAATTCTATAATGACTATTTTTAATCATGATTTTTTTTAGTGTTCAACCTGTCACCCTGCTCTTGTCTCAATACAATACACTCATTATTACTACTTCTAAAACTCTTCTTCACTTTCTATTTAGCACATAGAAAATTGATTTTTCTCTCTATCAATTTATAAAAAATAGAAGTCATAAAGAACATTTTAATGATATCTTCAGTGTCACAATTTAATTTCTATGCTTGATCTCCAAATTTTACAATTAATTTTTTCTGTGAATTTTTTTTAAAAGATTAAAAATATAAAAAATTAAAATCTATTGTAATTACAACCAATCATACATGATTATAAATATTTATATTCAACTCCTTTGTATATGCATCTATTTACAATTCATTTTACAAAAGTAACAATAATAGCTAACATGTTAAATGCTACTTTGTAAGGATATTTAATACCAACAGCACCACTGTGAGGTAGGTTTATATTAATTTAACCTAAAAGGCGAGGAATCTGAATCAAAGAGTTGAAGAAACTTACCTAAAGACCCATGATTACTAAGAGTAAGACTAGGCAATGAGTTTGGCATCTGATTCTGAATATTATGCAGTCAATTACTATATTGCCTCCATATGCAAAACATTTATAACTTGCTTTTTTGTTGTTGGCTTTTAAAAATATGTTATCAACATATTTGCATGTTATTAAATAAGCTACCACCACAATATTTTTAGTATTTGTATAGAAGTACCATTTATCTTATTAATCACTTACTATAGCACTAAATCTACAAGTATATGCTTATGTATTTATTATAAATTCTCATAATTGGGTGATTTTGTCAAAAATAAATATATTTTAAAGCTTTTGATGTGTTGTGCCCCAAAGAAAAATTGTACAATGTAGCACATCACCACATCCTCTCATTGTTGCATTTCCTCATTCTTCGTATACCCCTACTTTAATTTTAAACAATATCATTTTTCTGGATTTCTTTCTTAGTGTTCTTTCATCTTTTTTTGCCTCCTTTTACTTTAATTTTTTAAGTAGACAAATAAAAATTGTATATATGTCTGTGGTATACAACATAATGTTTTGAAATATGAATACATTATGGAATGGCTAAATAAAGCTAACTAATATATGCAGTATCTCATAAACTATTGTTTACTTGTGGTGAGAACACTTAAAATCTATTCTCTCAGCAATGTTCAAGAATACAGTACATTCTTCCTAACTGTAGTCACCATGTAGTACAACAGATCTCTTAAACGTCTACTCTTCAATTAGTAATTCTTAGCTTTGAAAATCTATATCTATATCATTGGGGAGTATATAAAGAACACTGAGCAAAATTCTCTTTCTGTTTAACACACAGACATCCTATTCCATAGAAATGAGACTATTTAAAAGTCCATAAAATGAAGCCATATAAAAGTCTCCAGATTTTGTCTTTCTTTTTCCTCTATACAGTTGTCCTGAATGAGATTATGTATTCCCGAAGCTTCAGATACTAAGAGACACTAAAAATAAATATTTCACTTAATTCTCTGCATACATCCTGAACTCCAGAGTCATGTTTTCAACTACTTTACATATATTTCTACTTGTATGAGCTGAAGATATCCACATGTATCAGGGGAACCAGCCCCAAATATTTCAACGTAGGTTCTTTTCTATTTTCCCTAAGTGTCAGCCAGTCTGAGAAATAAAGAGAAAGAGTAATAAGAGAGAAATTTTACAGCTGGGCCTCCGGGGGTGACATCACATATCGGTAGGTCCTTGATGCCCACCTGAGCCTCAAAACCACCAAGTTTTTATTAGGGATTTCAAAAGGGTAGGGGTGTACGAATAGGGAGTAGGTCACAGGGATCACATGCTTCAGAGGGCAATAAAAGATCACAGGGCAGAGGGTGAACTTAGAATTACTGATGAGGTTTCATGTCCCCCTGGGCACACATTGTCTTGATAAACATCTTAACAGGAAACAGGGTTCAAGAGCAGACAACCAGTCTGACTAGAATTCAACAGGCTGGAATTTCTCAATCCTGGTAAGCCTGAGGGCACTGCGGGAGACCAGGGTGTATTTCATCCCTTATCTCCAACCGCATAAGACAGATACTCCCAGAGCGGCCATTCATAGACCCACCCCTGGGAATGCATTCCTTCCCCAGGGTTATTCCTTGCTGGGAAAAGAATTCAGTGATATTTCTCCTACTCACTTTCTGCAAGAAGAAAAATATGGCTCTATTCTGCCTGACCGGCAGGCAGTCAGACCTTATGGTTATCTCCCTTGTTCCCTGAAAATTGCTGTTATCCTGTTCTTTTTCAGGGTGCTCAGATTTCATATTGTTCAAACACACATTTTACAATTTGTACAGTTAATGCAATCATCACAGGGTCCTGAGGCGACATACATCCTCAGCTTACAAAGATGATGGGACTAAGAGATTAAAGTAAAGACAGGCATAGGAAATTATAAGAGTATTGATTGGGAAAGTGATAAATGTCCATGAAATCGTCACAATTTATGTTCTTCCATGGCTTCAGCTGGTCCCTCCATTCGGGGTCCCTGACTTCCCGCAACACACATGCCCCCCTATTTCCTTGCTTTTATTTAGAAACAAAATGTCTGACATAAAGGAGCAAAAGTCAATATTTGCATAAGAGATGTTCATATTTACAGAAGTGAAACTGTTAAAATATACCTTGCCAAACATATCTTGATTTCAAAGTAGTGCAGCTTGTAACTGAAGTCTAGTTACTTTATATAAAATTTTACCTAGGATTTCGTAGTGTGTATAACTGTTAATGATAATATTACTCAGGCAGAAACACAGTAGTGCTGGCCACTCTAGTCCCTTAGCACTTTTCTGCTCTCCTTCCTTGGAGTATTCTTGCTTTTTGAACATTAGAGCTCTCTGAGGTCAATGCCTTACTCCCCTGACTTTGTTCACTATCTACACAGTATTATCAAGCTTTTTGGACTAATGCAGAAGTAGAATGGTATGCTTGAAAAACCTTATGTGAATGTCTTTAAAAAACAACTCAGGGGAGTATTTAGCTTCTCAGGTAGTTGTATTTTGATAGTACCACAAATGGCACAGGATCAACCACTTGTACTTGCTGCCAGGGACAATGCTCTTCCAGAGAAATAAAGTAAATAAATATGTTAGAAATTCTAATAGAATTAAATATGTACATAAATTGTATCTTTATCATGCATTAGAGAAAAGTACACACCTTCATTAACTGATAACATTTTAAAGATATTTCATTATTTAGAAGAAAATTGTTTTTGAGAAGCCTGAATTTCACAAAATAAAATAATTATAGATACAAAGAGAAAAATTACTTTTAATTTAAAAATATTTCCACAAAATGCCTTTTTAGTTACAGTGAAGAAACCCCAATATTATGAAGACATAGAAACTTTCTGTTAATGCAAAATTGAGGGCACTGAACAAACCACAGTACTTACTTTTATTTGCTGACTTTGTGGAACAAAATAAGAAGGGAACATATAAATTTTTAAAGGAAGCTCTGCATGGTGGCTCACATCTGTAGTCCCAGTGTTTTGGGAGGCCCAGACAGGAGAATCACTTGAGGCCAGGAGTTAGAGATGAGCCTGGGCAACAGAGCGAGAGTGTCTGTTGGCCCAGCTACTTGGGAGGCTGAGGCAGGAGGATCCCTTGAGCCAGGAATTTAAGGCCATATGAGCTTTGATCATGCCACCACACTCCAGTCTCGGCAACAGAGCTAAGTCCTATATCTAAAATAAAAAGTATATCTTTTTATTTAATTTAATTTTATAAATTTATAAATAATTTTACAAATTTATAAATAAAATTTATATAAATAAATTTTATAAATTTTAACAAAATAAAATTTATAAATAAGTTTATTTAAAAAATTTATAAATAAATAAATAATTTTATTTATTTAATTTAAAAATAAAAAAGTAAATTTCTGAAGCAAAAGAGGCATCAGAATAAAAAAAGAACTAGAAAGTTCAGTGTTGATTTTGGTGTACTAAAATAAGTTTCAGATTCATGGTTGTAACTCTTTGGATAAATAGCCAATTGTTCAACAATTATTAAAATTATGCTCAAGAACTTGTTCTCTTCAGTTGCAGAGTACAAGTTCAAAGCAAATCAAAACCACTTCCTATTGCAATAGAATTTTGCTCAAGAGAAAAAAAAGAGAGAGAGAGAGACTATTCAAATCTCAAAGTCAAAGCCAAGAGGCTCTGGTGATGAAACAGAAAGTAAAAAAAAGTCCCCTCTGTTTGTTCTTTCTACCTTCTCCAAGCTCATTGTAATAATCCTATAACTTTACACAGCTGTTTTGTTAGCCAACTCAGACTCAGGCTGAAAAGAAAAGATTATAAAGTTAAAGAAATTAGGAAAATATTTTTTGCTCCTTCTTACCACTCTTGGAAATGTTGTTTCGCACTAAATGGTCAAAAGAGGGGAAAAGAGAACAAAGCATTATGTAACTTATGTTAGCTACAAGAATATTAAACATGAATTGTGGAAATAAATCACTTTGTGCTTAGTTGGGGGAAGATAATGGCCATTTTTGGCAAAAATGATTGAAACTGGCAGTTAACACTCACTGTTGTATTTTCTTGTTAAAAATACAGCAACGAGAAAGAAAATTGCTGCATTCATATATTCCACTTGTTTCTTTCATGCCTCAAGTAAACTTAGATTCCTTTCTCAATTTTCAGCCACTGAAGTAAGTAGGATTTACTTCAAGTAGTTGTTTCTGAAATTGTTTTCAATTATCTCAATAAGCTTGTTTCTTCAGGCAGCTGAGAATTTTACTTTCCAGAGGCCTCTATTTGAGATAAATTGGCTCACCAATGCCTAAGCCTCAAGAATAATACATCAACTCAGACATTTTTTCAGGGTTAAGGAGGAAAACGTGACTGCTTCAGTAATGGTAGACAATCCACTTGACAACAGACAAGCTCCTTTATTCAGTGGTGCTAATTCAATAAATATTTACTGAGTAAAAAGGGCCAAGCTCAATGTTGGGTAGATAATAGCAATAAAATTATTTATGTTACAGTATCTGAACTCAAATGAAAACACTGGAACTATCTTCAACAAGTAGAGAATTCTTCATTCCAAAACTCATGGAAAAGGTTTATTGATTTATATGGTTGAATTGAGATACAACAGAACATGAAGAGGATTAAAATTTGTACTGTAGCTGAGAGATACTGTAATTATAATAAGGGAAATAACATTTATTACAGGCTATCCTAACTATGTCACTGAAATTGCTTTTGCAATTCATGTTATTAAAGGCAATGCATAGTATTATTTCCTTATTTTGTCAAATCCACCTGCAGCGTTTACTGTGTTTACTACCTTACCTACTTCAAAATACCGTTTGGCTTTCATATGTCAGTGTGTCCCTTTACAATTCTCATTGTTCCCTCATAGCTTAACTGAGAAACTTTCTTCTACTTGTTCCCTCATAGCTTAACTGAGAAACTTTCTTCTACTTTATAACAAGCAAGAAGTTATGTGCTTTGGACTCCACAATTTGAGAGCTTCTTGCCCTTCTCCAGGTGCACTGCTCCTCACAATGAAAGAAATGGGTGAAAGAGGAAAGAGCATGACCACCTGGAGCCCATCATCCCCCTTCTACAACAAATTCTAGTGATCCAGAACCCCAGGAATCCCTGCCCCATAAATACTCTTGCTTAAATCAAAGGATATCATGAGCCATTTTTTTTCCATTTTCATTCTTCCATGAATGTTCTATGCACATTCATGCACACGTGCAGGTTTGAGAAGTGCCAAAAAACAGCTGTTTGGAGTAAAGGAGATGAACGAACAACATGTTTGCAGGCAAAGGTGAGCACCATCATCTGCATGCATGTAAGCACCATACGGTATGATAAGAAAGCATGAGTAAGAATGGGCTGTAAACTTGGTTCTGCAGACACTATATTGCACAAGAAACTGGTAAGAGTGGATGCCTCTGAGGTGTTAAATCTTTCATTCACATCCCACTAAAATAATAAAAATTAAATATATTGTTAGTAAGTCTGGAATATTATAAATTTAAAAAAAATATTTTTGAATAAAAGTAATGAAGGCACCAATAAAAACAGAGAAAAATATTAATTTACAGAATTATGCCATGATCAAAAACTCAGTGAAATTTCTACCACAATTTCATGTCAGTCTTCAAATAACTTGGCAAGGTAATCCTAACTTCCTAATAATGTATGAGAGTGAGGAAGAGTCAAGATAATTCTGAAGAAAAATAAGAGGGGGAAGTTAACCTACCAAATACTACGTATGTACTGTAGGTAGGCTATAGTAAATTAAACATTATTAACTAAAATCAAGTCATGGAAATGAAAAGAAACATAAATCCAACTCATTAGTATTTTTGGATCTTGGGGTTTAACAGTTGAAGTCTGGATATGTCTGATTGCATCCTTTAAGGGGAAGTTACATGTGTTTCTCAGTTCTATGTATTTGACAGCTAGATACAAAGACTTGATGGAACTCAAGTGTTTGTATGTTTCTTCATTAGAAGACATTTATATATCTATTTTTGTTGCTTTTGGAGAAAAGTAGCAAAAATGCTGATGTTGTTCGATGCCTGTTTATTCATTGCAGAGGTGGGTACAAAATGGCAATATTCTAACTGCATCATTTTGTTTTCATTTATTGGTTAGGATAATTTTATCATATGCTGCTTGTATCTATTATTTCTACAAGGTTTCATTTATGTAGGAAAGGTAGAATAAATGCTCAATTCTATCCTGTAATTTTCTTATTTTTCAATTTCTCTCTCACCTCTGAAAATCGCCAATTAAAATGTATAAGCTCAGAGATTTAAACATATTTTTTCGCCTTTACTCTACATGATTGCAATTCTTATGCATATTGAAGTACAAAATGCCAATTCGCAGGCCAGTGAGAACCCCTTCAAGTTGACTGTGGTGTCCTTTTCATAAAACCCTCATTGACTTTAAGAGCTTGATATCTCTATCTAGCATGTCAAGACGTTTCAGGCTTACCTTGAACATTTTCCCCAAAATACCTTATATTTTGGTACTAAATTATATTGCCTAACCACAATTTTGGCACTATGAACGTTCATTGCCATTGTTGCTAATTGGTTCTAGGATTTTTAGTGGACAAATCTGGGGATAAGTGTGTATATATATATATATATATATATATATATATATATACATATACATCACACACATATACACACACACACATATATATACTGTCATGTTATCACAGATATATAAAATAATATATATAATCATATCTGTTTATACATAAATGTGTGTGTGTGTGTGTGTGTACACATGCATTTGTCATGATGTTTAGGGTGATTTCAAATTCAGGACTATGCGGTTTACTTAATCCCCTCTACAATATATCTCTATTGCCTTCTTTCATACAAATTTCCAAAGAAAATTTCCCAGCATTTTCAATGATAAAGGGAATAATAAAGAATACAACATTCTTGATTATTCATTTGCTTAATCACACTTTATGATACAATTTATAATATAACATTCTTGAAATAATAATACAATGTTAATACTATCACCACCTATTACTGCTCTTATATTGATGTCTCTCTAGTTATTTTGGTTGTCTAAAGTTTTGTCTCTAGTATATTTTTAGAATGAGCTTATGGGGCAATATTGCCTGAGAATAGTCAGGGAAAATGTTTGATAATAGTTTGTGTCATTAATAACTGAAACTTTAGTTTAATTGCTGAATATAGATGGTAAATATATAAAAAAGATAAAATGAATTGTAATTAAACAATATTATCTTTATGATATGTAATAGGCATTTACATTGTCTATTCTATTTTGTATTTGTTTAAAACTTGTGAAGTGAACTAAACTGATCTCACTATCCGTGAGTAGGTTAGATTCTAAAGAACACCATATCTAGAAGTTACATGTAATGGGATGACTTTCTGGAACCATAAAATTAAACATACCAGAGCAACAAATACTGGTATCTTTTATATAATCAATCTACTCTTCTCCTATCGTCCTCTTCCACTTCCTCTTCCCTATTTCCATTGCCTTTCTTACATTTCTCCTGCCACTCCCTCCCAGGTACTCACCGCTACCCTGCGTTCCTGCATAGACTTCCATCAGAGAGAACATGTTAGGAAAGTTAAATTGCAGTAAGCACATCACAGCAATGACGAGGACAGGTACTTTTCTGGGAAACACTGGAAGACAGCTGGAGAGGATTCTGCTGCTGTGAAAGCACCTAAAGCCTCCTTGACTCAGCCTCACATCCTATCTTCAAGAAAACATCATATGGTTATTATATAAACCTCTTACGGGATTTCTAAGGTTAATTTCAATATATAAATGGCTACTCAACAGAATCAAGGTAATTAGAGTTTGCTTATATTCAAAAAGAGTTGCAAAATGTCTCCTAGAAAACAGAATTAACTATAAGAACCTGAAATTTGCATTTCATAACTTTAAGGAGTTTAAATTATCAAGATTAATATTGCACTAAAAAGTTTGTGCATTCATGCGTGATCGAATATGAAAACACATGACCTGTGAACTGAGCAAAAGGTATGCTTTCTGAAGCATATACTCTGTGTGATTAGGTCACTGATGCCATTGAAATATGTAGATTTAATGTTAAAGCTACTGGTTCTCTGAGTGTTTTCATGATCTCACCAGATTTTTTTTTTTGTACCATTCACTCTTTTCTATTTAAAAGACTTTCAGTCGTAGTCTAAAAAAAATTCCAAACACTTTAGTTCTGGAATTTCACTTATTCTCTACAAGTTATTATTACTACAATTTAGTACAAACTCTCATTTTCATAGCTTACTATTCCAACTTCTCCTAGTATGTAACCCTTATGCTCTATAACTGAAAACATTCTGGTAAAAGGAATCAGCATGCTAATACTATTTTAAACACACATCCTCATTCTCTTTCCTATTATTCATAAAACTAGAAAAATAAAAAAACACTTTTCTTCCAGCAGTGGATAGAAGAAAAAGAAATTCAAATTTACAATTTAATTGTCATGGGTCACTCACTTGCAGTGACTTGCTCTAGTTGCTTCTGTTGTTTTAATGCTAAGGTAAGATGATGAAGATCTGTTTTGAGTAAAGTAAGCTCCAAATATGAGCTTTGCACTACTACCATTCTTAATTTGTGGATCATATCAATGTTAGGAGTTGAAGGTTTAATTTGCATTTATTTAAATAAATTATCCCTAGACTATAACTTATTTTCCAAATGTCTCATTCTTTCTCTCATGTTTATCTTTTTTCTTGACATTCATTTCTTATACATGCATTCATCAATATTAGCCATTCTATGTGGATATACTAATTCATATTTACTTCAATCCATTAATATTTGCATTCTAATAAAATTCATTGCTTCTCTACAATAGATAGTTCAAGCAGAACTTATAGTTTTGGTCATTAATTTCTAGCTACAGATTGCAGAAGAGAAGCAGCACATAATAAAGTATATCCTAGTCATGTTTGCATATAAATACATACTACATTGCACAGAATAATTGTTACCCTCCTACAAAAGCCCAAAATAAATTAAAGATATAAAATCACTGATATAATTCAGTTTTGTATCTCAATCACAATCCAGTTTCTTTCTTTTTCTGATCTTATAGCCTGGGGGTTCTCAAAAGAAAACGTTTTAGAATAAAATTTTATTTTCTATAAACCTAAGGATATAGTGCACATTCATTGATAGAACAGGCATCAACTTCTGTTTCTCTGATCTCATTTCACTAGGGCTTACATTTTCAGCCATATCACTAGGCAGAACTGTGAAAGCAATTCTGTATTAATGTTCAAAGATGCATTTTTTTTATTAGAAAAGAAACACATGTTTTATACTTAGCCCTATATCCTGTATCTTCCCCTCCCTTCCTCTTTTGGTTTTTCTTGTCCTACAATAAAAAGCACTAGAATATCCACTGGATGTATTGTTTATAAATTAAGTAACATATTGTTCATATAATAAAACGATTCTCTTCCCCACATGATTTCATCACCACTGTCTCTTCCTAAGTGTGACAATGTCTTCTGCTTACTTCAACATTAAATATTTTATATTTACTTCTAGATTAATAAACTGTAGACCCTACCAATTGTCTCTATAGAAGATTACTAGTTTGCTCATTTATGTAATACTCATATTCCCCTTTCATGTACCTTCCTTAAATTTTAATAGTTGCATTTATCCTTCCAAGTAGCATTCAAACTTTAAATATAAATACATCTTCATCACTTGTTCCCTCATTTACACAATACTTCCTAATTATTTACTACATAAGAGAGTGGTCTTATAACTATATTTTTCTCTATATCTCTTGTATCAACTTTCAAACTGGAATTTTTGACAGATACCACTTCTATATATAGGTGTACAGGTCCTGCTAATGCTGAGAGACAAAAAAGAGAACAGAAAGGACCACTCTTGCTGAGACAAAAAAGAGAACTGGGAGGACAACTCCTGCAGGCATGTGGACATTCATAGAAAATACAGCCTTCACCATCTAAGACTTGGGACAGGAAAGCAGAACAGAAAAAGATAAACATAAAATGAAAGGGCCAGATGGGAGAATAAACTGTGTAGAAAAGCTGACAGGTTCTAAAGCACTGTGATATCTCCTACTGTTTATAAAACAGGCATATGGACTTTAAACCAGGAGCAAATCTCTGGAACATCTTTGGTTATCAGATTTCAAATTTTGATAAAAAGAAGACTCTGATTCCATTCTCAAATAATTTCAAGACAGTAGTGAACTAAATTTTAGACAACAAAAATGCATATTCACCTTCTACAGAGATAACTGTCTCAGAAATACTTGCTCAATACTAGAAGCCTGACAAAAAGAAAAGCACATATTTTGAGGGTATACATATCATTTAATATAGTTTCTACTATTTTCTGCACAAAATCTGGGATAACCTTTAAAAAATGCAGTAAAAACAAGCAAGAAAATATAACCAACTGTCAAGAGAGAAAACATTTAATAGAAAACAAGCAAGGATGGCCAAGATGTTGGTTTTTATCAGGCTTATAAATAAAAATATATATGAAAAAGTCAAAAGATATATATATGTGTGTGTGTGTGTGTATTTGAAGAATCTCAACAAAGATGGAAAATATGAAAAAAATTCAAATAGAAATTTTATACCTGGAAAATGTAGTATTAGAAATAAATAGCCACAGCAGAGAAACTTGAAGAAAAGACAAGAGAAATTATTCAAACTGAATTAAAAATTAGAAACATACAGTGATCTGTAGGACTATGCCAAATGTTCTGACAGATGCATAATTGAAATTCACAAAAGAGGAGAAATCAAAAGTATGTAAAAAATCAAAGCCTGTTGTTGTGGCATGTGCTTCTCAGGAGGCTGAGCCAGGAGCATTACTGGAGCCCAGGAGTTTGAGACCAGCCTAGGAAACATAATGAGACTCTGTCTCAAAAAAAAAAAAAAAAAAAAAAAAAAAAAAGAGAGAGTGAGAGAGAGATAATATTTAAATTTTTCTAAGTGAAAGACATACTGTAACTACCAGAAACATAAAACCCAGTGAACTTCAGAAAGTATAAGTAGAAAGAAAAACACACTTAAATGTATAGCAGACAAACTGGTAAAAACCAAGGATAAAGAATGGATCTTAAAAAGTCACCACAGAGTAAAGGACATTGCTTCAGATCAATGGAGGTCAGAAGACAATAGAACACATTTTTAAGGGGCTGCAAAAATATTGCCATGTGGAATCATCCCATGTTCAGTAAAATATGTGTTCTCCAAATGAAGGCAAATTAAAGTCTTTTTGATGAACAAAAGACATGAGAATTTTTATCCAATCGATTTGAATATCAAGAAATATTTTTTAAAATGTTTTTTGATGATAAAAAATTGAAGCATATCATAAGAAAGACAAGTCTTCAGGAGTGAATGAAGAAACCAGAAAGGATAAATATAAAAATAAAACTTCAAAGTTCAACTACTAAAATTTTCATAACATAGCATTGACTGTGTGAAGTAAAATTATCAGTGTTGCACAATTGATACTATATGCAGATGTGAATTATGTGTTATTAGACCAAAAAAGCAGACGGACGATAAGAAAACCATATTACATCAGGTTCTTACATTACTAAAATATGCTTTTCAACAAAGATAGTAATAGGATGAAAATGGACATTATAATCTCTAAAGTAACTCACAAAAATTAATAATACAAGGAAGCATAATAAAACATAAAAAATAAATAGAAGATAAAAGTACATGATTTACTAAAAAAGAAGGCACAAAAGTGGGAACAAAGAAAAGAACAAATTAATCAAAGAGAAAATAAACGCCAATGTGTTAGACTTAACAATAGTTGCATAAAAAATTAAAATGCAGAGATTGTCAGACTGAATAAGAATGTGAAGCTCAACAGCACACTGTTTGCAAGAAAAAATTTTAAATATAAATAAGAGATTTTTAAAAAGGGATAAAAAATGCATACCAAATTAAATATACACATAAGAAAGCTTGTATCTATATTGGTGTCAGACAAATTGAATTGTAAGACAACAGTAATACCAAAAACAAAAGGGACATTTCATAGTTATGTAATAGTTTATCAAGATGCTGCAGCAAAAGAAGTCATAACATGAAAATTTGTGATGTATATTAGAAAACAGAAAGGTAGAACATCAATGATATTTCCACATGAAAATGTTAGAAAGCAAATAACAAATTATAATCAACATAAGTAGAAGACAGAAAATGTAGAAATAAAAACAAAAAAATTAAAACAGTAGATGAACAAAGAACAGAGAATATCAACATTTTAAAAATTAAGTTTTGAAAATATTAATGAAATTGATAAATAAATAAGAATAATCAAGGAAAAATAGAAAACATAAATTATCAATATCAAGAATAACAAAGGAGACTTCACTACAGAATCTGTAGATATTAAATAGACGCTAGCAGTATAAAGTTGACGACTTTACGCTAGCAAATTTTACAATGTACATAAAATAAAATAATTATTTAAAATCACAACCTGCAAATAATGACAACAAAAGGAGTTGAAAACCTAAAAATTTCTAAACCTATTAAGCACAGTCATGCACCACATTAACACCCTTTTGACCAATAATGGACCATGTACATGACAGTGGTCCCACAAGACTATGATGGATCTGAAAAATTTCTATTGTTTAGGGATATTGTAGCCATCATAATATCATAGGGCAATGTATTGCTCACGTTTGTGGTGGTGTTGGTGTAAACAAGCATACTGTGCCACCAGTCATATGAAAGTATAGCACATACAATTATGTACACTATATTTTATAAAGATAAGAAATGATGTTACTGGTTTACACACTTACTATACTATACTTTTTATTGTTTTTTTAGTGTACTACTCTACTTACATTTTAAAAAATTTTAACTGTAAAATAGCCTGAGGTAGGTCCTTCAGGAGGTATTCCGGAAGAAGGCATTATTATTATAGGAGATGACAGCTCCATACATGTTTTGCCCTTGAAGACCGTTTAGTGGGACAAGATGTGGAGGTAAATCAGTGATATGGATGATCGTAGCCCTGTTTGAGCCTACCCTGATGTGTATGCTTGTGTCTTGGTTTTTATTGTTTTATTTTTATTTTTATGTTTTTTCAGACAGGGTCTCGCTCTGTCACCCAGGGCCTAAAGTGCAGTGGCATGATCAGCTTGGACCTCCTGGGCTCAAGCGATCATCCTATCTCAGGTGGGAACACAGGTGCATGCCACCACAACTGGCTTTTTTTTTTTTTTTTTTTTTTTTTTAACGTTTGTAGAGAGGAGGTTTAACTATGCTGCCCAGGCTGGTCTTGAAGTCTTGGGCTAAAGTGATCCTCCTACCTCGGCCTCCCAAAGTGCAAGGATTAAGCCACTGCACTCAGCTGTATATTGATTAACGAGAAAAGTTTAAAAGGTAAAAATAAAATAAAAAATAAAAGTTTTAAAAATATAAAAAAATGTATAAAATAAGGAGATAGAGAAAGAAAATATTTTTCTACAAGTGTACAATGTATTTGTGCTTTAAACTAAGTGTTATTGCAAGACTCAAAAAGTTAAAAAATTATTAAGTTTACAAAATAAAAAAGTTTCAACAAGCTAAGGTTAATATTGCTAGAAAGAAATTTAATAAATTTATGATAGCCTAAGTATACAGCATTTATAAAGTCTACAGTAGTGTACACTAATGTCCTACCCCTTCACATTCACTTACCACTCACTCACTGACTCATCAAGAGTAACTTCCAGTGTTGCGAACTCCATTTATCATAAGTGCCCCCAGCAGGTGTATAACATTTTTAATCTTTTATGCCATATGTTTACTGTACTCTTTGTATGTTTAGATGTGTTTAGATATACAAATACCATTGTGTTACAATTGCCTACATTATTCAGGACATTGGCATACTGTACAGGTTTGTAGCCTAGGAGCACTAGGCTATACCAGATAGCCTAGGTACACAGTAGAGTATACCATGGAGATTTGTGTAAGTACACTCCTTGATGTTGGAATGATAAAATTTTACCTAACAATATACCTCTCAGAATGTATTTCCATTGTTAAGCAACGCATGACTGTAATAAAACTAATTATGGAGTCTTTACACACACTGTGCACAAAATCACACACACTTCTACATACTCAAGGCCCAGATACCCTCAATGGTGAATTATTTCAAGCCATTTACTGAATAAATAATGTCAATATTACACAAACACTTAACAAAAACAGGGTGAACACTCCATTCTCCCATACTCAATTCAGGAGACCAGCATGAACCTGATATGAAACTTGAAAAACATATAACCCCCTTCTCCAAAGTACTAACATACCTATAAACGTAAATGCAAGTGTATTTAAGAAGTACTTGTAAATTGAATCCAGTAGTATGTTGAGGAATAGTGTCTCATGACAAAGTATATTTAACTTCATCAAAGCTTAAAAAACACTAAAAAGGCATTAAGAAAATAAATAAAAAAGCCACAGTAGGATAATATATTTGCAATACGTAGAACTAACATCTTTTAGTGCTAAAACTTAGATATTTAAATCTATTTGCTTCTCTCTCCATCTATCTATCATCTTCTGCAGCTCAATAATAAAAAGACAAGCAATAATACAGAGCTATGAGCAAAACCCTTGTATAGACATTTCACAAAGAAAGACATAAAAATGGCCAATAAGCATGTGAAAAGATGATCAAAATTATCAGTTATCAGGTAAATGAAAATAACAACGACAATATATTACTAATTGTCTTACAAACCAAAATGGCTTAAGAGCATCTGACAACAGCAAATGTCAAGGTTGTGAGGCAACAAAAACTATCATATATAGTTGGTGGGAGAGCAAAATCATATCAACATTTGGAAAATTTTTTGGTGTTTTTTTTTTAATTAAGCACATATATACCATTAAGACACAAAAGATTTCAGCCCTAGGTATTTACCTAAAATAAATAAAAATCTATATTCATAAGGAAAAATGTGGATAATAAATGTTCACAGAAACTTTATTCATTATAACTTAAAAGTGAAAAGTACCCAAATACCCATTAACAGGTGAATGCATAATAAATTGTATATTCATACATTGGAATACTATTAGAAATAAAAAGGAATCAGCTAATAATACCACACATGTCTAAATCTCAAAAACATTTTACTAAAAATCACAAAAAGGTATATATAGTGTGACATTTTAAAAATAAAGCTCTATGGTGAATAAAAAAATTGATAGATTTTTATCAAAGATGGTAGAAATCAGAGCAGCAGTCGCCTAGGGTTGGGGCACAGCTCAAGAGTTGCTGGGAAGGTACACCAGAGAACTATCTAGGGCAATTAAAATGTCCTACATCATGATAGGGATGTGGGTTACATGCATACATATGTACATTTTCAAAACTCATATAACTTACACTTAAGATCTGTACATACACCGTATATAAATTATGCCTCAATAAAAGGGAAATAAATGATTTGTTTGTGATTGTATAAATATTGGTAAACAACATTTTGCATATTGTTTGCATATACTACAGAATAATTTGCATACTTCATTCTACTGGGTTGATATGGGTTGGTATGACCTTTCTAGAATAATAATTTTAGCAAAAAGGAGATACATTTATTCTTTTCTATTAAGTTAGTTGATCAAAATAAGAACAGATTTTGGTTTGCTTCATATTTGAATCAGAAATGCATAATTTATTCATGAAACCACAACATTTTTCTATATTTTAGTCTTTCATGTTTTGCTAAGTAATGAAACTCTCCTGTTCTTTGTAACCTTCTTTTCAGCTAGGCACAGTGGCTCACGCTGTAATCCCAGCACTCTAGGAGGCTGAGGCAGGCAGATTGCTTGAGCTTAGATGTTTAAGACCAGCCTGGGCAACATGGCGAAACCCGGTTTCTATAAAAAAATACAAAAAATAGCCAGACGTGATGCTGTGTGCTTGTAGTTCCAGCTACTGGGGAGGCTGAAGCAGGAGGTTTGCTTGAGCCTGGGAGGCAGAGGTTGCAGTGAGCTGTGATCCTGCCATTGCACTCCAGCTTGGGCAGCAGAGCAAGATCCTCAAAGAAGAAAAGAAGAAGAATAAAAGAAAAATAAGAATAAAAAAACCCTGAACACATTATTTTCAAAACTTAACTGTCCTAAGTTGGGCTGACCACTTCCAAAGCCAGCTGCACAGTGATCATTCTAAAACACTTTCACACTTAACTGCGTTGCATGCTCTCACTTTACTAATATGTTCTCTTGGAAGCTGCTTTAGTTACGTACATGTGCATTGGACATAAATTTATTGAGTTTTTTTTAGAGTCCAGTGTTAATAATAATCTGAAGCTATTTCTTTCTAAGTCACCCATGTTTTGTCTACCACCACCCTCCTCCTGATTTGAATAATTTTAGTTTTTCCTTATTTTCTTGTGCATTCAAAAAATTTACATCAGATCTGGGTGTGAATTTTAAAATATATATTCTATATGTCATTTGGCAGGCCCTTTGATCTAGACTTGTGTCTTTCTTACGCATGAATGATTCATTTCTTCTCCTCCATCTCCCTTCCTCTCTCCCTCTCCCTCTGGCTCTCATTTTCTTTCTTTCTTTTTTTTTTTTCTGATGAATTTGTTCTTCAGTTATCCTTGCCTAGAACATCATAGTAAGGTGTCACTTCTAGATCAATCATCTTTCTTGTTTATATTTTTTCACACTGTCTAGCCTATGCTCTATATTATAAGAGATTTTCACCCTGAATACTCATAAAACTGTATCTTCTGGCTTCCTCCTGGTCCATTACTTTATTTTTTATTTGCTTTGTTCTTTCATACTAAATTTCCTTATATATCTGTTGTTTCTTAAGGCTTTTTTCATACTTAAGGAGGCTCCCTCGCTTTTTCTCAGTTCAGGTTAAGAGTCCTCTGCTATTGCTCTGCTTTGCTAAGGGGTTTCTACCTTAAAGGAAATAGTGACTGGAATTCTGAATAAAATTGACATGTTTTCCAGGCTTGCTGCATTATACACTTTGTTTAAACATCAGAGTGTGGGCCGAGCACAATGGCTCATGCCTGTAATCCCAGCACTTTGGGAGGCCGAGGTGGACAGATCAGGAGGTTGGCGGTTCGAGACCAGCCTGGCCAAAATGGTGAAACCTCGTCTTTACTAAAAATACAAAAATCAGCCGGGTGTGGTGGCAGGTGCCTGTAATCCCAGCTACTCGGGAGACTGAGGTGGGAGAATCTCTTGAACCCAGGAGGCGGAGGTTGCAGTGATCTGAGATGGAGCCCCTGCACGGCAGGCTGGGCGACAGAGTGAGACTCGGTCTCAAAAAAAAAAAAAAAAAAAAAAAAAAATCAGAGTGCTCGTCTGCATAGAGGCCAAAATATATCAAAATAAGGTGAGCCACATTCTGATTAACTGACTTGTTTTTAAAAAGGACCCCAAGTAATTTTGGTTTTCTTTCCTTTTTGGTTATAAGTACCGGACTGCTTGGCTCTCTTGGTGAAGGGTTGAGAAGAAACTGAAGAAACCTCTCTGGAGATAAACTTTCAATTACTTCATTTCATTTCTCATACTCAGTACCTAGCTCTTAACCTGTTCTCTATACTGATTTTCATAGGGAAGATCACCACCGAATAATAATGCAGCCCTCTCCTGTTCACAATGCAGGCTATAGTAATCTCTGTTTTATCTTTCTGTAGATCTGTTTTCCACTATTTTTCACTTCAAAAAATTGTTAACATATAGGTCTATTGATTCACTACACCATCACTCCAATAAGGTATGTTGAGAGTAACATGTGTGCTCAGTCCACAGTTTTAAGAAAAAAATAAAAAGCCTAGCCTACAGGAGTTAATAAACTGTATGATTTCATTTACTCTCATCAAAGTTCATGTGACTGCAGCAGTCTTACAACTATAAACAAAACAATTTTTCTATCTAATGAAACTGAATCAAAATTGATTGAAATTATGTTGTTGGACAAATTATTTTACTTCTCTAAGCCAATTTTCACATTTTCTAAACTAGATAGAAATCATGGTACTTCACAGAGAGGTTGATAGGATTAGATTAAATGAGGCTTATAAAGGAACGTAGCATTCTGCCTGGTATTTACTAGCTTTTCAATAAATTTTTAGCATAAATATTATTAGCCATTTCCTCCCCCATCCCTTTGCAAGATTCTGTGGGATGCAACACACTTTGAAATGAACACTGCCTTTTCCTTGATGTCTTCCTACCCTAATTTTTGCATGTGAGCCATAGTTCATCCATTAATCATATTGTTGTCTATCCCTCATTCCTCTGTTCTAAAGTCAATTATTACTTTAAAAATAGTCTCATCTCGATTTAGTTGGAATTCATTGTTTTGTACAGATACTTAGTAAGGATTTACCTAATATTCTATTTCTGGCTTGTTGCTATTCAAAAAGTGAAGTGCAACGTATTAGTATAAAACATTGAACTCTCCAAATGTATCACATTTGTCTCATCCTAAATGTATCTAAAACTCCCTGCTACATAATAAGAATGCCTTTCCATGCCATATGCAACACAAAACAGAATAATATTTTCAATGTTGATTGATTCTCAATGGACAGTAATACTTAAGCTATAACTGAAATCATTCTCCACACCACATTTGGCTGATTTGTTTGTTCCTGAGCATAATTTATAAGTTAATTCCTTGCTCTACTCTGTTCCTGTAGTATAATCAAGATGCTAATCTGTTGCCAGTAACTGTATCAAATGGTATCTATGCTAGCTTTTGTGGCTAAAATGGCTTTGATATTTAAAATACAAAGGTTTCCTTTAATCTTTCATAATATGAATTCTGAATTGCTCAAGCTGCTGCCATCTGATAACTTATACAATGCTTGAACTAGAAAAGACCCTAGAGATTTTCTAATGAGACTTTACCTTTTAATATAATATATATTTGTTAAACAAAATGTTGAAAATCAAAGAAAAATCACTTATAGCCCATCATTGGAGGACTTATAACTTTAAATGAATCAACCGAGAAGAAAATAGACATAATGAAATCTCAGAACAGCTTCTTAGTAATAATTGATTTAAAGAGTAACAGAAAAAGTGATTCAACTCACAGTAGATAGAAGTCCATGAATTATCTATTATAAGAATGTAAATGTAGAATACTTTCATGACAAGAGAAAACAATGATTAAATGCACTAAAAGGCATAAATAACTTACTGAATAGAAAGTGTTGCCACTTAGTTTGTCTTTCCATTCTGGTATAAAGTCACAGTTTTATGAAATCATGATACTAGCCACTCATGCTTCGTTTTGATTTCAACAAGATTTCGCCAAATATTTCCCATTTGAAGTGTGCTATAATTTTTTGTTATAGACAAACCTCTTTAATAATGCTAAGCAACATAGACTAATATTTGGAACAATATTTGGTGGTATACTTGTTGTTTTGGTTTTATACCAGGGATAGCGTAGCAGATTGTATTATAGTTCTCAGGTATAATTTCCATGCCCTGTAGGAGGATTCACCCCAGCTCAGCATCACATCTTATTCATTGCCTTGTGAGGGGAGTGTATTCTGTCCCATTAATGATAGTCATGGATTTGTGATGTACTTGATAAGTGGTATTTGAGAAAACATGGCATATGTTATAATATGAGCAGAAGCTTAGAAGGCACTAAAAATTTCTACCAGTTCTCCTTCTTTTTTCCCTCTGATAAGAAAATAATATGTTCAAAATAGGGCTGCTCCTTTAGCCTGGGTTCTGGGGAAAGGAGACATATAGAGCAGATCGAAGTAACTTGTATCTGATTACATACAACATGAACAGGACATAGATGTTTGTTGTTACAAACTAATAAGATTATAAACTAATGGGTTGTTAGCCATTAGCAATGTAGTCTTGAATTTTATTGTAAACTTTCACAATAAATGAAGACAAGCATAATTTTGTTTCTTATTTAAGCAATGACCAGAATAATAACATTTCCAAAATCAAACCATATTCATATTTATATTGATAAAATATTCTTGTAAGTCAAAACTGTTAACTGAAATTTTGAATATTTTTTAGTTGTTTTTCCCCATAATGTTCTATGTCCCAAAGAAGTTTCCACCTCCTGGCAAATATATATTAATGAAAATTTGAAAATGGTCCTCTTAAACGATCTTTGCTTCCACAAAATTTCTTAATTTTACTTAAACATTTAAAAATTCAGAAGTTTAAGTGTAGCATAATGAAAACATGTTATAAAAAGATATTTTCTAATTTTTATTGTAATAATCTCATAAAATTATATCCTCTAAAACTCTCTACCTCTCATTGGCACCCCACTATCCATGTAGACCATTGACATCTTTCTTTATTACTTCCTTCAGCTGTTTCTTCTGGTGCAAAAATGTGTTGACAACCCCTATATGCAATTGCCCCTGCTCTAATACTCTGATTTTTTTTTTTTTTTGAGGGGGAGGTGGAAATATATATATATATGTATATTTTTTCATTATTTTCTTATAATTTTTTCAAGTTTCATGTAGGATTGTAAAAGGGAAACACATGTATTTGATTTGCCATGTTTACTATAATGCTTTTCATATACTCATATTCTTTCCTTTCAAGGCTTAGATTTAATGGTGAATTCTCTGTGCTAGATCCCTTGAAATTCCAAAGTGGAATAATTACTCCTTGCTCCATGCTCTCCTAGCACTTTGATTATCATGCTAACATAGCAATCATTAGATTATATTTTAGCTACATTTGGATATAGTTATCTAGCTTTGTAAATTGTGTTTTACTTTGTAAAAATATAAAAGTAATAAAACTTGGTTAAATGTAACTCGGGTTTGAGAACTCAGAGATAGTCCTAAGTACATAATAAGATCACAGAAAAATAGCGGGAGTCACAGCCATCTGGAGAAGATGGTAATGTCCTTCATTCAGTCAATACATATTTATCAAGTACCAAGCATGAGCCAGGTTCTGTGCTAGGGCATTAGAGATAGAGCAGTGAACAAGACAGACATGGTTCCAATTTACAGTATACTCACGGAGGCTTAATATTTAATTTTTTTCCCAATTTCCAAAGCATTTTATATTAGTTGAACCCGTGAGCCAGTATGCTGCTGTTATTGTGATTGCTATGGCTTTAGCAAAGAAAGGCAAAGGCAACAGAAATTGTGCCTTACAAGTCATAAAATATGTGATTGAATTTTAAAATAAGGAATCTTGCCAACCCCTGTAACCACAGATTTATGTGTCACTTACAATAAATACCTATCAATAAAACTAATCATTTTACTTCCTTTTGGGACCAACATTTATATTGGAGTTGTTCTCATGATAGTTATGGCAAACACCTGCTGACCTCACTCTGTGAACCGCCATCACCTATCCAAGCCCTACAGCTGCCTCAGTGCCAGCTCTCCAGAGCTTAAAAGGTGCTAGCCACGACCAACACTCACTATTGAGGCACAACATACATTAAACCTAGCACTTGAATTATGTGAGGGAAGAAAATTTAGAAGAAAACTTTAAAGAAAATATGAGGGAACATTTAAAAATTCATGGAAAATGCATATTACGAAAAAGTAGGCATGGATTTCAAAATTATGTTTGCATCAAAATAAACTCATACTACCTTCTAATAACATGTCTCAACAGGATCTAGTTTGAAACATTAGGAAGGATAAGACATCAGTTTGAAAATAGTCCCTATCAGAGCAACATACATTCTGCTAAAATTGAAGTGAAAACAAACATCAAATTTATGGTGAAGCTTGGATGAAAGAATGGTGAAATCACATATGCTTTATGAAAACTTTATTGGGACAGTCTTCAAATAACTAGGCAGTTTACAAATGGATTTAAAAGAAGGAATAGGATGGTGTTGAGGATGAGGCTTGTAGTGGCAGACCATCCACATCAACTTGCAAGGAAAAATTCAGTCTCGTTTTTGCCCTAATTGAAGAACACTGATGATTGACAGCAAAAACAATAGCCAATGCAATATACATTTCAGTTAGTTCAACTTACACAATTCTGACTAAAAAATTAAAGGAGAGCAAGTTTTCTACTTGATGGGTGCCAAAATGGTTACCCCCAGATCAGCTGCCGAGAAGAGCAGAGCTTTTGATGGAACTTTCAAACAAGTCAATCAAGGTCCTGAAGCATTGTTTTGAATAATTGGATAGTAAAGATGAAACATAGCTTTCCCAATATGATCCTGAAGACACAGCACAATCAAAGCAATGCTTACCAAGACCTGGAAGTGGTCCAGTGACAGCAAACACAGGATGGCCAAGAGCAAAGCTAATGGAGACAGTTTTCTTTAGATGCTCAAGGCATTTTGCTCCTTGACTTTCTGGAGGGCCAAAAAACAATAACATCTGCTTATTATCACAGTGTTTTGAGCAAGTAAGAAAAAGCTTTAGCAGAAAAATGCTCAAGACACCTCGATTTGAGAGTCCCTTTCCACCGTGACAATGCTCATTCCTTTCGTCAAATAAGGGTAATTTTGTGGGAATTCTATGGGAAATCATTAAGCATCCCCTTAACCCTTCTGATTTGGCTCTAAGTCATTTTTGTTTTCTAATCATAACAAATCTGTAAAGGGCATCCATTTTTCAGTTAACAATGTATTAGGTTGGTGCAAAATTAACTGCGGTTTTTCCATTACTTTTTTGGGTTTTTTTTGAGACGGAGTCTCACTCTGCCACCCAGGCTGGAGTGCAGTGGCACGATCTCGGCTCACTACAACCTCCGCCTCCCATGCTCAAGTGATTCTCCTGCCTCAGCCTTCCGAGTAGCTAGGATTACAGGCGCAAGCCACCACGCCGTGCTAATTTTTTTTATTTTTAGTGGAGTCAGTGTTTCAACTAGTTGGCCAGGCTGGTCACAAACTCCTGACCTCAAGTGATCCGCCCTCCTCGGCCTCCCAAAGTGCTGGGATTACAGGCGTGAGCCATCCCACTCGACCTTGCCATTTCTTTTTGAAAGGCAAAACCACAATTACTTTTGCACCAACCTAATAAGAAAAGACTGCATTGACATTAAATTCCTAAGACTATCAGTTCTTTAGGGATGGATTAAACGGCTGATATAATCTCACAATATGTATTGAGCTTGATGGCCCTTATGTTGAGAAATAAAGTTTAAAGTTTATATTATTTTTAAAAAAATTTTGTCTTTCAATTCAATTTTTACACAAACTTTTTAGTTTCCTTGTATTTAGGGTGAGGAATTTCCCATGAGATTTATCATACAGAAAGGAAGAGAGACACAGAAAAAGACACAGAGAGAGAGGGAAAGAGTAGGAAGGAAAGAGGAAGAATAAGCAATATTAATACAACTACAAAGTATGACATATAAACTAAGGAAACCACTGTAAGTCAGAATGAAAGAAAAATAATTTTTTGTTTTCTTTTTTCTTTTTTTTTTTTAACCTAGTCTCGCTCTGTCGCTCAGGCTGGAGTGCAGTGGTGCAATCTCAGCTAACTACAACATCCGCCTCCCAGGTTCAAGCAATTCTCCTGCCTCAGCCTCCCAAGTAGCTGAGATTACAAGTGCCCACCACCAAGCTCAGCTAATATTTGTATTTTTAATAGAGATGGGGTTTAACCATGTTGGCCAGGCTGGTCTCAACCCCCTGGCCTCAAGATATCCACCTGCCTTGGCCTCCCAAAGTGCTGGGTTACAGACGTGGGAGCCACTATGCCAGGCCTAATTTTTGTTTGTTTGTTTGTTTATTTTACATTTCCTTTGTGTAAAAATCCAAGGGAGAAACTCTAACAGTATTAGTTTACTATAAATGTGCTAAGATACTTATGACCCTTCCTCTATCTTCTGGATAGGCACACATACAGTTGCATTGAGTTACCCATTGTTATACTTTTAATTGTAAGCCCTGAAAATATATTTCTCTCTTCAGCTAAAGGTTTACCATGACATCTGACTCATCACCATCTTCAAACTTCCAAGTTCTTTTCAATTCAATTAAAATGAAAACAGTGAGGAAATTTCTGTAATTCCATAAGATTACTGATTCAACACCTTGGTATTTTACCATATGTAACAGAGACTAAAAATGGAGTTAATCTAGAGGGAGAAGGACACAATGACTCAGCATAGTACCTTTCACTTTCATGTCAGTAGTTAAAATTCAGTACAAGGCTATAGTTACTAAGTCTGCTCCCAAGTGTTCCACGGAGGCATATAGGAAAATGAGGAAAGGGAATTTCTCATGGTTTGACAATTCTGGTTGACTGGTAAATTCCCATGAAATAAATAGAAAAAAAAAAGGTTGATGGTGGTAAAGATACCAAGGAGTGACTAATGAGGCACGGGTATGGCCTTCTTTTAGATTCTCTTTCTGCCAGAAGCAAAGGGCTGTATTTCTATTTCTTGACACCTGATATGTGAATAGTCTCTTATATTATTTGACATGATTAAAAATCATTTTGCTCTTAAAAATAACTTAGAACATTCTTGAAATATAAATAATGAGTTTGAAAAAAAGGTTCAATGGATAGTAATTCTGTTTACATTGTCCATAGGCTATAAAACTTAGGTAATTAACATGCTTAGCTTCTTCTGAAAGTCAGTACACATGTGCATTCTGAACATTTGAAATATCTTTAAAATAAGACAGCTCTCATTAACTGAGATTCAAGTTATGATTCAGAGCTCTTCTCTTATATTTACAGGTATAAGGCAAATTCACAAACCATTCGTTTTCTTTATTAAAGCATATGTGATATAGTGGAGAGAAAAGATTTCATTTAAATTTTCTAGCTTTATGTATGAAATTGTTTCTGTTTTTTTTCTTTCTACAAAATTTCATTAGAGTTTCTTTAAAAGGGAGAATATAACCTACTCCTTGTGGGTTTTGCTGCTTCAACCAATGACATATTTATAAATACATACAGTACCATCCCATTATTCACAATTTACTTTCCATAGTTTTAATTACTCATTGTCAACTGCAGGCCCAAAATAGGTGAGTACAGTACAATAAGATATTTTAAGAGAAACCACAATCTCATAATTTTTACTACACGAATTGTTCTATTTTATTATTAGTTATTATTGTTAATCTTTCACTGCACCAAGCTTAAATTAAACTTTATAATAACTGTGTGTATACAGGAAAAAAACATGGTATGCATAGGGTTCAGCACCATCCATGGTTTTAGGCATCCACTGGAAGTCTTGGAACATATCCCCTGAGAATAAGGAAGAGCTACTGTTATACATATCACTTCTATATGTGTATACATACACACATGCAAACATAGAAAATAGTGAACATAAATGAATAAATGCAGTTTTATAGTCCATATTTCCTACTCAGCCCCTTAGTGAGTCAGCACCTCTTGTTGTGTCAGAGTAACCTGTCTTTTAAATAAGCACTCTTAGAGAATGTAAGAGAAATAAGAGATAACCAAGCTCACTTGAAATGTTAGAATATTAAGGATCAGATGGCTTCAGTGAGTGAGACACCCTGGACACACACACACACACACACACACACACACACACACACACAGAGAGAGAGAAAAAATGATAGACTACAATTTGTATATATATAGAGAGATTTTTCTTGTGATTCCTGCTTATGTGTATTTTTACCTCATAGGGCTGCGTGGTTGTGTTTGCCAAGGTTCTTCTCGTCAAAATCTGCACTGGAAGGTAAAGCAAAATAAACTTATTAGAATAAGTTTATTCCAAAATAAACGTATTTCTTTGGGCAACTCAGGCATCAAAAGGAAACTGAAATATGCAGATTTTTTTCCTGGTCTGGATGCAGAGCAGCCCCAAAACCTCAGCCACAATAATTCACAAAAATGATCTCTATGTTGCCAACATGTCCCTAAGGTCTTAGGTTTCATGATTCCTAATATCTGTGTCTTCGTTCAAGTTTTAAATTCTGGAAAAGAAAATCTGATTTTCCTAAGTTGGATCATGTTATGTTCCCTAGATTAGAAACCCTAGCAAAAAAACAGTTCCTGTAGCATAGATATGACTTCAAGAGTAACCCATGTGTAGTAAAACCTTTTCCAGTAAAGGGGGGATCATTTTGAGATGTAGCACCCAATGCCAATGCTGTGGACAGAATTTTGGATCTAGAAGGACAATTTAGCTAGATAGACTATCCCACTTTTCATAGCCAATGAGAAAGATCCAGTAAGGAGGCTAGGTCAGCTATTGTTAAAGGACAGATTAATACAGTTAAATGGAGAAAATCAAATTCAAATTTCTCTGGACAAGAGCAGAAAATAGGAGTGAGGACAAATGTCTTACAAGTTCAAGGTTCAGGATCTGATTAGGACAAGAATGGAAGGGCAATTAGATACAATGTAGGAATAATGCACAAGGATTACTGCTAAAGTCGGAGGGGAAGTATCTTTGGTTTGCATTTATTAGATATAATTGTCTTACTGTCTGAATGGATCCTGTTTGTTTATATGTTGATGGAACCACATTTCTTAACAAATTGAATTGTGCATGTAATTTAGTAGCCTTAATAATGACTCGAATTTTGAGTTCAGTGAATATGCACGACGCTTGTAAAAAAATTTTCACTATGACTTCCTTCTGAAGCTTCAGATTTTCATTCCCTTTAGCTTTCTTATGGTCTTATGATTCCAAAAAGTCAAAAATTAAAATATGGTATTTCTCCCAAATTTTTTCTTTTCTTTCTCACATTCGTAGTTCATTAATAGCACCATGCTTTTTGTCACTTAAGTTCAAATGTAATGGCTGATGATATTATAGATCTGTTACACATTAATTAGATTAAAAATACTTCTATATACAGTTCATCTCACTAGCATCCTACAGATAATCTAGGGCTTTCTTTTATAGCTTATCACCACAATTTAGGCAGATAAAAATCTAAATGCACATCCTTTCTCTTAGACTGTATCTTATTACTAAACCTTATATAAATAGTCAAGTTCTCAGCACGGTTAATATTTCTTCAGGTCTGTTGCCCGGCTCATTTCTCTTTTGACTGCTGTGTGTGCCTTGGAGCTCTCGTTTTACATGCTTCACTCCAAAGAGTCTCCTTGTATGTTACTGCAAGATGAGTCCAAGTACTCTTTCCCTTGCTTTGATGATGCTCAACAGTGTGCTCTCAAAGAGTATTTGACAAATTATCCTCCTTGAAAGCATCTTTGCCTCAGGATAAATATTAATTCTTCCCCAAAGATACACGTTGTATTGAATACAAGTGTGGTAAACAACAAGACTATTTTTTACAACTTGTTTCTGGGTTTTTCAGTGAAAAAGCAGCAAGAGACATAGAATTATATAACTGAAATGTCTTTTATAGATTATTCATCTTTCATTTTGCATATGAGAACGTCTAAGACCCAGAGCAGTCATTTGGTGTTCCCAAAGACACACAACTAACTGATAAGAGACATGAAATGTCTTTCTTAGGGTTTCCAGTGTATTGTTGTTTTTTGTTGTTCTTGTTTCTCACTACAGCAAACTCATATAAACCCGTGGCATCTTAATATGTACTTAATTTAATGATTGTTCAAAGTGTCACATAATTTGCACCTACAATGGATTAGTAAAAGCTTATAGCAATTGACCAATCTTTTTCTCAAAATAAAGTCAGTTAAGCAAAAATTGTAATGTCAAAATTAGATTATTTTCTTGGGTAATATTTCAAAATAAGGTTTTACAGTTAAAAATATTAACATTTTAAGACTTAGATATACAAATTTTGTTTCCAATATAGTATCAGTACACTCTTGCATAATAATTTTATTAGAAAGACATTCTCAACACACCCTGGCCAACATTTTGACCTTTGCTAATTTTATGAGAAAATGAAAAGAGAAATTATTTTAATAAATAATGTAATTAATTTCATGGTAATATCACTAAATCCTTTAAGGGTGTATTGAACAATACTGTAGTCACCAGCCACATATAACTATTTTCATTTAAATTAACTAAAATTGGCCAGGCATGGTGGCTCACGCCTGTAATCCTAGTACTTTGGGAGGCTGAGGAAGGTGGGTCACTTGAAGTCAGGAGTTCAAGACCAGCCTGGTCTATATGGTGAAACCCCATCTCTACTAAATACACAAAAATTAGCCAGACATGGTGGCACACGCCTGTAATCCTAGCTACTTAGGAGGCTGAGGCAGGAGAAACCCTTGAACCCAGGAGGGGAGGTTGCAGTGAGCTGAGATTGCACCACTGCACTCCAGCCTGTGCAACAGAGCAACAGGCTGTCTCAAAATAAATAAATAAAATTTAAAAATTAATTAACTAAAATTAAGAATTCAGATTTTCAATAGCACCAATCTTATCCAAAGTGTTCAATAACCACATGTGCTTAGTGGCTATTGTATCAGACAGAGCTGATATAGGACACTTTCTTCATCACAGAAAGTTCTATTGATAATGCAGCTCCAAGTTATTAATACCAATTTATAGAGGAAGAAACTTAGCCTTAGTTATATGCTCATACTCATACATGTAGTAAGTGAAAAAGTCAGAAATGAATAAAATTTCCTAATAATCTACGTTATTTAAAACTATTTACCATTGAATTTTTCTACTAATAGGATAAACATAGAATTTTATTTTGTTCATTAATACTTTCTGTGTTTCAAATTGCTTATTCACATAGAATAAACATCTACTGAATAAAAAAACCTTTTTATATTTCTCTTATTAATGTTATAATCTTGGTATTTTGCTTTTAAATTAAATCCCCATTAATCCAAACCAAATATATTATCAATATTAAATGTAGTATTGTATAATTGAAATAAAATTACATTAACATATTGCTTCTACTGGTTTCCTTACATTTCCAATGAGGAGGATTCTCTGTTGACCCATTCATTTCTTTTCTTCAGTAAGATTCTTCCTTGACAAACCATCTTTTGAACATCTGGTGAAAAAAAAAATGGAGAAATAATATGAGAGAAGAAAACGTGAATAAGACATTAAATGAAACTGCATGAGAGGTTTTATTCAAGGTTCACAATAAAATATATACCAGAGCAGTAGAAGAGCTGTTGTATTTAAAGACATTCGAAGGGGAATAAAATGTGAAGCATTTGGAAGATCTGTCCTAGCTTACATGTGTATTTTCAAAGTTGCCTTTAGGAAATGTGTGGTAATAAACTGAGTTTATTGAAATTAGCATTCAGGTGCTGAATTGTGCTGCATAAAAGACTAACACAGGTTCTTCCATAGAAAATGGTATTTTAATTGCTATATGTGGTAATAATATACTTTGATGATGAAAAGTTTAACAAATATGTTATACTGCCACATATATGTCATACTTAACTGAAGGAGTAAAGAAGTACTTTGTTAAACACTTTGCTAGTTTTAATACCTTAACTAACAAGAGCATTTATTCTTTTTTTATTTCTAAGAAATACATACATGTTAGGAATTTAGAACCTCACAGAGTTTTTTGTTTGTTTGTTTGTTTCTTCCCTCTTGGAAAATTCCAAGTATTGTTGATTATTAGTATTTGTGAAATAACTGTATATACTTTATGTTAATACAAAAGTAACAATTAAGAGTTGGTCAAAAGAAAGGCAAAATTTGATTTTTTTTCTTGTCTCCCTAGCATGTCATTCTAAATTAAATGGGGCATTCCACATTATAATAGTAATAACAAATACAAACAAGCTTCTTAAAGACTCTCTTTTAATTTAATAAACGGTCCCATTTTAAAAAACGAATTCCCGGTAACTATTCGTACAAGATAGATTATATTTTTGGTCCTTTTCCCATATTTTAATTGGTTGTGCTTGGAGCTATGTTATAGCCTTGGCCAGAAAATTATTCAGAGAGTAACTTCTAAATGTCATCATATGTATTAAAGTGACATTCTTCACCTTGTTTTTAAACATCAAAAAGTTCGTGGAGTTTTGCTTCTCACTTCTTAACAAATGGAAATGGAATTTGTCTTCTTGATTATCACACAACGTTCCCTCCTCTTCCTGGCATGCCTCTTTTCCAGCCCAGACTTTTTATTTAAATGCATTAGAACAGAATTTATAAACAGAATTTATTAGAACAGAATATCTAAAGTTAGATGCAGCTCAGGACAAAGTTGTAGTATATGTTGATAATTTAGTCCTCAAGCAAAACCACATTGTACACTTGTGTTTCCAAAACCAGCAAAAATTCATATTTTTGTTTGAACAGAAGAGTGGAGACACAACAAATTCCTATCTTCCTTTTCAGGAACTATATTGAAAATCTCTTTTTAACTTGCAAGGCTGATGCAGACTTTAGTCAGGTATGCTTCCATATTGAAATCCTCCGGAGATTAACAGCAACAGCAACTGCCTCAAGGCGTTCTTGGTTCCATTTCACCACTTCACCATCTGGTAGACATATGAGGATCAGTTCAACAGATTTAGGAAATGGTTATTATGAGGTTATTCTTTTTAGCAGATGATTTTTTTGTTTTGCCACTCCCACATAAATGCAAAACAGAAAATATGTTCGAAGCAGAGACTACTATAGAGCTTACCTATTTGAAATTTCCCCTCCAGCAAACAAAACCACTGCAAACTGAGCTTAACAATGTCCAGTCATAGCGTGAAGGGCAAATTTTAAACTGAATGTGCATTAGTATGATATATAGTTCTCTTTGGCCCCCAAAATAAATTACTCTCCTTAAAGATAAATGTAAATATAAGAACAAGCTGCAATGTTACTTTATAATTTAATTCTCCTTCAATGTGTCCTTGAAACTTCTACAAAGCAGACGGTGTTTTAGGAGAATTTAATGCAGAAAATATCAAAGTACTGCAAGACTCTAACAGGTGTTCAAAATTAGATAAGCATTGATTTTAAAACATTTTTAAGTTCATATCATTATTAATATTTTCTTTGTGTATAGAAGTAATTTTATGTAAGGTACAGATGCCTCTAGCCTTTAAAATTTTAATACAGTGTGTAGAGTTTATTGTTATGTAATTTACACACTTCTTTACAGACAATTAATAACCCTATAATTATTACAGCCTTTGTGAATTTAAGCAGAATTTTTAAGTAGAAGTGTATGATAATAGCTTTGACCTTATCCTTTTACATATATTTTAATAAATAAATGATCATACTTCTCAAATGTGACTTGGCCAAAGAATGAAGTATGATATTTAAAGAACATAATAATATAAAAAAATTGAAATTACATATTTACAAAGGATCTGTGTATGCTGAGAAAGAGTTTCTGTGTCTTTTATTGTTTATTTTTCTCTAGGCAGTAGTTGTTAACTGGGATGATTTCACTTCCTCTCCCATGAAACATCTGGAAATATCTAGAGAAATATTTGGTTGTCAAAACTAGGGCATGGCTACTACTAGCATCTACTTGATAGAGACTGGGGATGCTGCTAACTTTCTACAATGTTCAAGACAGCCTCATTCCAACAACAAAGATCGATGCATTCCAAAATATCAACAGACCCAAAGTTGAAAATCTCTGCTCCAAAGCTTATATTAATATATACAAAATAAAATTTGGCAAATAAATTATTCACAAGGAAATTGGAAACTCCAAATCTTAGAATGAGACAATCTTCTGTGACTTGTTAACACATGCGCACACACACAAACATATACATTTTCATGCACAGATTAAACACACATATATATGTATTTATATGTTATATAAACAAATACATATATTCCCATATGCCAACTCATACTCAATTTTTAGTATTTGATTCTGAATACTCTTTTGAAGCAATTGATTTTTTTCCTCAGTTATTAAAATATTGGTTGTCCTGGATTATTTAAATCTGTAGTGATCAAAGCCACAATTTCAAGTAAACGTAGGCTTTCTCCTCTTGGTAATCACAGCAACCACACAGGGTCCAAGTCATTATAGTGTGGGACTAATATTTAGAAAAGCATTTCTTTGTGTGCCTATCATATTTCTGGATTATTGGTCTTCAGGTTCTAGGACAGATTCATTTTCTAAATTAGACATTTTTCATCTTCAGTATAAAATGTTATCTTGAAACATTTACAAAAATATCATTGTTGTTTTTCATAACTCAATGTATGTGCAATCTGATTTTCTAAATTGTGACTAAAAGACTTAGCTGTCATAATTTTGGAAAGTGAAGAGAATTATCATCTGTATGTTTCTCTACAGTCTAAGTTTCATCTTTACATGGAAAAAAAATCAAAACTCTAGCTCATCTGCATCTGGAAGGAAACATATAAGACACTCTGAACACTATTCTGCTAGTCAAACAAAACTTCCTAATCTTTTTTCCATTTAAGATCTTCGAAAATTCTCACTGGTCAGTAACACCTATGAACACTAAGTGGAAGTATAAGAAGGTTCTGCTGCAGGGTGCAGTGGCTCACACCTGTAATCCCAGTACTTTGGGAGGCTGAGGCTGGCAGATCACCTGAGGTCAGTAGTTTGAGACCAGCCTGGCCAACACGGTGAAACCCTGTCTCTACTAAAAATACAAAAATTAGCCAGGCGTGGTGGTGGGTCCCTGCAGTCCCAGCTACTCAGGAGGCTGAGGCAGGAGAATTGCTTAAACCCGGGAGGCGGAGGTTGCAGTGAGCCGAGACATCACCACTGCACTCCAGCCTGGGTGACAGAGCAAGGCTCTGCCTCAAAAAAAAAAAAAAAAAAAAAAAGTTCTGCTCCCGTTTAAATAAAGCAAAGTGAGTTACTGCTTTCCAACATACTTACTGTTAAAGAGCTACTGCAAGAAGGAAAGTACAATAAAGGGAATATACAGAGTCCATCAGTTAGAGATATTGATAGTTAGTTATGCTGCAGTATACCTGTATGTGTTGTTACACATGTCTACATGGTGGACCATATAATGAGTCAGTTCTACTATCATATAATTGACTTGAACAGCTGTGAAGCTATTCTTCATTCAGCCTCATTATATCATTTGATTATCATTTACAATAAATTTACCTTCTCATGTCTGTTTTGTTTTTAGCTCCTCGTCATTACTTTCCGACCACCTTTCTACTTATTTTTTATGATGTTCAGGCAATCTCTCACTATATGAACCTAAGAAACTAGGTTTTATTCAACATAAGCATTTTTAAATTATAAATTATTTTTGAAATAAAGAAAACATTTGCCCTGTGAAGTGATCAAACTTGAATATAATATTAAGGGTAGAAAACTGTACTTTTATTCCCTATAGTATCATAGATACTAAAATTATTGGAGAACAATTGATGTGAAATGGACTAAAACGGACACCAAAATTCTGTGGCAGTACTGAGTTATAACATGGCTGTCTCTGTTTGTATTCTCATATTATTTTTGTTAGGTTGTCATACGATGAAAAGATAAAATTTAAAAAATAAATTAAAAAGTAAAGAATGCTTAGAATTCATGCTTCACACAGGCAATGCTGAGAAAAACATAAAATTGACAGGTCATTTGGGGGAGGATATTTGGCAAAAAGATTGGGCTAAGCAGATAGTGAGATAAAATCTGGATGTTTCAGGCAAAAGTACATGTGTGACTAATGGCACAGAGGTGAAAAAACTTGCTTTATCTGTGAGGAGAGTTCCTACCAGGTTAAGTTCAGACAAAGGTTGACAAGACTTGGGAGTACTTTAAATGCAAGTATATTATTATAGATAAAATAAACAATGTCTAGGTATAAAGGATTTTTTAAATTAGGAAGTTAAATAAATAAAGCTGCTTTTACAAAGTAAGTCAGACCATGGTATAAAATGCATTTGAGGCCGGGCGTGGTGTCTCACTGCTGTAATCCCAGCACTTTGGGAGGCCGAGGCGGGCGGATCACGAGGTCAGGAGATCAAGACCATCCTGGATAACACGGTGAAACCCCGTCTCTACTAAAAATACAAAAAATTAGCCGGACGTAGTGGCGGGCGTCTGTAGTCCCAGCTACTTGGGAGGCTGAGGCAGGAGAATGGCGTGAACCTGGGAGGCCGAGCTTGCAGTGAGCCGAGATGGCGCCACTGTACTCCAGCCTGGGCGACAGAGCCAGACTCCATCTCAAAAAAAAAAAAAAAAAAAAAAAAAAAAGCTTTTGAAAGAAGGTGTGTTGAATTCTAGGAGACAAGCACAATAATGATTTCCATAGTCAACAAGGGAGGCTATATGAACTTATACATAGGTCCACTGGAAGATTTTAGTATACTTCTATTAAAATGAAGCAAATAGAAGAAATTTAAAACAAAACTTTTGTGTGAATGTATGCACATATATGTTCACATGCCTCTAAATGATAAAAGTAAATATATTTAATAAAATTCCAATAAATAATAAAAATGAATAAATTTGGTAGCTACTAGGCATTTTGAAATAAATTATTAAATCTTCCATTATTCAAAGAAAATTCAACATAAAATTATTATTCACTTAGAAAATAATAAAATAAGAACATTTTATATAAAAACTAATAGAACATAGTTAAATTTATTTTCAAAATGGCTTAAATGCTTTCAATATTGAAAAAAGAAAGATGGGGTCAGGCACGGTGGCTCACGCCTGTAATCCCAGCACTTTGGGAGGCCGAGGTAGGCAGATCATGAGATCAGGAGATCAAGACCATCCTGACCAGCATGGTGAAACCCTGTCTCTACTAAAAATAGAAAAATTAGCTAGCTGGGCATGGTGGTGCACGCCTGTAGTCCCAGCTACTCGGGAGGCTGAGGCAGGAGAATCGCTTGAACCCGGGAGGCAGAGGTTGCATTGAGCCAAGATCGTGCCACTGCACTCCGTGGTGACAGAGAGAGACCCTGTCTCAAAAAAAAAAAAAAAAAAACCAGAAAGATGTAAGTGAAGGATATATATTATTCATTATAAAAAATTAAATAATGAATAAAAATCAATCTGAAGACATATGTAGAGAAAAACAGTAATTAGTATGGAAAATGTTATATAATTTTAATGCAAAAAATAATAACTATAAAATCTGAGTCTTGTAAAAATATCACTAAAACTGGTAAATTCCTTAAAATAAGGTTTTCAAAAATGGAGGGCGGCAAACAGTATTAGATTAGGACTAAAAAAGGAATCTTAACATGAGATATAAAAATGTAAACTAATCAGCCAGGCACGATAGCTCACGCCTATACCCCCAGCACTTTGAGAGGCTGAGGCAGTCGGATCACCTGAGGTCAAGAGTTTGAGACCAGCCTGACCTACATGGAGAAACCCCGTCTTTACTAAAAATACAAACAAATTAGCCAGGCGTTGTGGCACATGCCTGTAATCCCAGCTACTCAAGAGGCTGAGGCAGGAGAATTGCTTGAACCCGGGAGGCAGAGGTTGCAGTGAGCCGAGATCGTGCCATTGCAATCCAGGCTGGGCAAAAAAAGCAAAACTCTGTCTCAAAAAGAAAAAAAGTAAACTAATCATGGGAATATATTATATACAAATTTATATCAGCAAATCTTAAGATAACAATAAGGAGAAAATTGAATATAAAAATTACATAATGATTGTAAACTGATAAACATTCTAACATTTGAACATATATTTTGTCAGGATACTTTTCAATACAACTTAAATTAATCTAGATGAAATAAATAATAACCCCTCCCAATTTAGTTTTTCAATTTAGCATAACCTGTTTCTGGTAAAAGTAATATAAAAAAAAACCTATAGACAAATTTCATTGATCAATATGAAAAGCACATTCTAAGCAAATATTAGGAAATCAAATCCAGATGTTTATCAAAAATGATTAAAGAATATTCCAGAAAAGTAATAGCAGTCCTTTATTATAATTCATTTACTCAGTAAATTAAAGCAAAACAATATGATTACATTAACAGCAGCTTTAAAAGACAATCAGACTGGACATGGTGGTTCATGCCTGTAATTCCAGCACTTTGGGAGGCCAAGGCAGGTGGATCACTTGAGGTCAGGGGTTTGAGACCAGCCTGGCCAACAAGGTGAAACCCCATCTCTACTAAAAAATACATGAACAAAAAAAATTAGTCAGGCATGGTGGCGGGCACCTGTAATCCCAGCTACTCAGGAGGCTGAGGCAGGAGAATTACTTGAACTCAGGAGGGGGAGTTTGCAGTGAGCCATGATTGCGCCACTGCACTCCAGCCTGGGTGACAGAGTGAGACTCCATTCTCAAAATAATAATAATAATAATTAATAATAATAATAATGCAAGGAAGCTTAGAGTCTCTGCTGCATTAGAAAGCCTCCGCTTTTTAAACAAACATTCTATTCTCACCATCTTTCCATCAATCCAAACATCTGGGCTCCTTGTTTTGATAGATTATTTGCCTTAGTATTATAGATTCTACCCTACATATACTATCTTTACCTACAACTTATATTACTAATTTTATATATAATCAACTTCTTTGCCATAATCTTAGGATCTCTAAGCTTTTGAATCTGTACTACATATGCTCTTTCTAATAGTATATTTTTAAAAACATGCTTTTATAAACAGTATTGCTGGATCACTATTACACTGGAGGTGACATCATTAGGATTTGTAAACAGAAAATACAAGAGGTATGGATGAGTGTACAAGTTCTCCAAAACTTGGAAAATTTCTTTCATCTTATTTCTGTTACATTAGAAAATTTTAATTTAACATATTAAATTGTTTTTGAGGATTTAACTAGTGTAGGAAGAGAGAAACAAAGTGCTCCTGTATTTGTCTGTTCTCATGCTGCTAATAAAGACATACTGAAAACTGGGTAATTTAAATAATAAAAAAGAGGTTTAATGGACTCACAGTTCCACATGACTGGGGAGGCCTCACAATTGCAGCAGAAGGCAAAAGAGGAGCAAAGGCATGTCTTACATGGTGGCAGGGAAGAGAGCATGTGCAGGGGAACTGCCCTTTATAAAACCATCAGGTATCATGAGACTTATTCACTATCACAAGAACAGCATAGGAAAAACCTGGCCCCATGATTATATTACCTCCAACCAGATCACTCCCGGGACACGTGGGGATTATGGGAGCTACAATTCAAGATGAGATTTGTGTGGGGACACAACCAAACCATATAATTCCATCCCTGACCCCTCCCAGATCTCATGATATCAAATTTCAAAACATGATCATGGTTTCAACAGTCCCCCAAAGTCTTAACTCATTCCAGCATTAACCAAAAAGTCCAAGTCCAAAGACTCATCTGAGACAAAGCAAACCCCTTCTGCCTATGCCTGTAAAATCAAAAGCAAGTTAGTTACTTCCTAGATACAATGGGGGTACAGGCATTGGGCAAATACATCCATTCCAAATAGGAGAAATTGGCCAAAACAAAGGGCTAGAGGTCTCATGCGAATCTGAAATCCAATAGTGCAGTCATTAAACCTTAAAGTTCCAAAACAATCTCCTTTGACGGCATGTATTACATCCAGGTCATGCTGATGCAAGTGGTGGATTCCCATGATCTCAGGCAGCTCTGCCCTTGTGGCTTTGCAAAGTACAGCCCCCTCCAAGCTTCTTTGACAGGCTGGCATTCAGTATCTACTCTGCTGCTTTTCCAGGCGCACGGTGGAAGCTGTCAGTGGATCTACCATTCTGGGGTCTGGAGAATGGCAGCCCTCTTCTCACAGCTCCACTAGGCAGTTCTCCAGTGGGTACTCTGTGTGGAGGCTCCAATCCCACATTTCCCTTCCACACCTCCCTAGCAGAGGTTCTCCATGATGGCTCCATCCCTGCAACAGACTTTTGCTTGGACATCCAGACATTTCCACACATTCTCTAAAATCTAGGCAGAGGTTTCCAAACCTCAATACTTTACTTCTGCACACCCACAGGGCCAACACCACGTGTAAGCTGCCAAGGCTTGGGGCTTTCAGTCTGTGAAGCCACAGCCCAAGCTATAATTTGGCCCCTTTTAGCCATGGCTGGGATGAGGGGAACCAAATCCTGAGACTGCACAAAGCACCAAGGCCCCGGGGCCAGCCTATGAAACCATTTTGTCCTCCTAGGCCTCTGGGCCTATAATGGGAGGGGCTGCCATGAAGACCACTGGCATGCCCTAGAGACATTTTTCCCATTGTCTTGGTTATAATCATTTGGCTCCTTATTATTGATGCAAATGTCTACAGCCAGCTTGAATTTCTCCTGAGAAAATGGGTTTTCCTTTTCTATTGTATTGTCAGGCTGCAAATTTTCTGAACTTTTATGCTCTGCTTCCCTTTTCAACATAAGTTCCAATTCCAAACCATACTTTGTGATGAACAAAACTGAGTGCTTCAAAGAGCACACTAGTTACCTCTTGAATGCATTGCTGCATAGAAATTTCCTCTGCCAGATATCCTACATCATCTATCTGAAGTTCAAAGTTCCACAGATCTCTAGGGAAGGAGCAAAATATTGTCAGTCTTTTTGCTGAAACATAGTATGAGTCACCTTTATTCCAGTTCCTGACAAGTTCCTCATTTCCATCTAAGATCACGGCAGCCTGGACTTCGTTTTCTATATCTCTATCAGCATTTTGGTCAAAGCCATTCAACAAGTCTCTAAAAAGTTGCAAACTTTCCCACATCTTCTTGTTTTCTGAGGCCTCTAGGAAATTTCAAACAAGTCTCTAGGAAATTTCAAACTTTCCCACATTTTCCTGTCTTCCTCTGAGCCCTCCAAGCTATTCCAACCTCTTCCTGTTACTCAGTTCCAAAGTTGCTTCCATGTTTTCAGGTATCTTTACAGCAGTGCCCCACTACCTGGTACCAATTAAATGTATTTGCATGTTCTCATGCTGCTAACAAAGACATATCTGAGACTTGGTAATTTATAAAGAAAAAGAGGTTTAATGGACTCACAGTTCCACATGGCTGGAGAGGCCTCACAATCACGGTGGAAGGCAAAGAGGGAGCAAAGGCATGTCTTACATGGCAGCAGGCAAGAAAGCATGTGCAGGGGAACTGCCCTTTATAAAGCCATCAGATTTTGTGAGGCTTATTCGCTATTACAAGAACAGCAGAGGAAATCCCTCCAACCCCATGATTCAATTACCTCCCACCAGGTCCCTTCCAGGACACATGGGGATTATGGGAGCTACAATTCAAGATGAGATTTGGGTGGGGTCAAAGCCAAACCATATCAGCTACCTATTCAACAGAAACTATTCTAGATCAAAAGTTGTCAAACTATGGCTTATGAGTCAAATCTAGCTCATTGCTTTGTCTATAAGTAAAGATTTATTGTAACACAGCCTTCCTCACTCATTTACATATTATTTATTAATTTACATATTGTCATCACTGAACTTTACATGTGAGCAGGAAATAAATATCATTCAGGTTCATTCTATTTATTTTATAGATGAGGAATATGAGGTTTAAGTAATTACATGGCTAGTCCAGGATCACACATGTAGTGAATTAAAGAATAAGAAACCACACCAATTCACAGCTTCTTTTAAACCTTCTGTTTACATCTGCTCCTCTCATTTTCTAATGCTAGCAGAGATAGGCAGAAATATTATTTTCTTGAGCTAATGGTCTGGGTTGATGATGACATGTGTCACCTGTTGGTGAAGTAGAGCAAAACTCCACCTGTCTCTTCTTCAGTTATTGTGACCAGGGAGACCAAAGAATAAACAAACAATTACAAATTAGTTTTTATAAAGATACTGAGAAATAAACTAACACAAAATACTTTGTATAAAACCACTGAGATTTGAGGAAGTTTCCTACATCAAACTTTGTCTATTGTAACCAATACTCTGTCTCTCAAAAAACAATAAATTCTGGATTCATAAATGTTTTCAAATATAAAGCTAATTCAAATATTGTAAATAAACTGGTTGGCTTATCACAGAATATACTTTAATACATTATTCTGTATAAGGCATGACCTCTAATGTTATTATATACATTTTAATATAGATCATATTATTGTGCATTTACACTAGGTATCTTCTGATGGTATGTGTTTCAGGTTGGAGGGAATTTACATAAAATATGTTAAAAGTGCCTTAAAAATAAAACTCTACAAATGAAATAAAAGTCAAGTTTATAATGTGAATCATATTCTATATTGGCAACATCTTGTTTAAAGTTTCATTTCCTTTGAAGAAAAATTATGAAACACAATGCTTGTGAACATTCTACAACAAAATTATATATTATGAAGCCTTGCAGTTTAATCCATTTTTGAACTACCCATGCATTTTTTGTCTTGTATTTTTTTTTACTTTTATACTATTTTGTTTTAATTATTTGGATTTTATCAATTTACAATGTATAAAATGACTTTTATTTATGTACTGCCTAATCTATATATTTTATAACATTTTTACTACTTTTAAATTAAATTAATTAATGACTTTAGGCTACAGAAAGATTATTTTAGGTAAGAGCTCATAAGCCTCCTTGTAATTATTTTTATTAAAAACTTTACTGTTAGTTTTATCTTTCTTTATAAATAGGCACAAAGACTGGCATACAAACAAATAAATAGTTGATTGTATAGATACTGAAGTAATCCTTAGTTTTAGCAAATACTACTTCATTTTCACTTTGTATTATTTTAATTTACTGTTAAAATTGAATGTCTAGGCTATTTACCAATATATATTTCATTTTGGTTGTCATTTGTTTATTTTTATTTTTCTCAAGTTAGGCTCATTTTCTAATGGTCATTGCATGTATCCATTGCAATAAATGTATGCCTAATTTACTTATCTCTATTTACTATATAAATAATTTTGCTTAAATATCTATAACATTTGTAAATATTTAAGTAATTTTATTGAATTCTCATGGATTATTATTTTTATTTTTCAGTCATTGGGAAATAGAAATTTTAATTTGATAAATCGAAATTTTTATTAACAGATCTATATTAGATTATAAAGTATAATTAAGAGCCTTTATCTTTTCTCAATCTGATCATCCTTTGCCCATAACCAAAAGTGATCATACGTCAAAATTTTGTTTGGGATAGGCTTAGTTTACAACTTTTTTTCTGTCATTTTGATTACTAACACTCCCTTTTTACTGTCAAATATTGGAACTTAGTCAATAAATTCTGTGGTCACTCTACCTATAATTACTCTGCTAATCTTTTTCTTCTGCACACAACGTACAATAGAACAAATGATAAGACAATATTCTGCCCCTGATATCCTATCTTTAAAAAAGAACATGAGAAGAAATAGGCATCAGAATGGGCATATTAGGAATCACTATCCCCAGAATATCTACAGCTAAGGAAATGTCCTAGAATAAAAGTGATTTTAAATGTTATCTCCAGTTTTTCACTGATAGACTTTTTCGCATATTCTCATAATCTTATCCCTTTCCACCCAGTGCGAACATAGAAGTCCATGATGAAAGAGAAGCCTCTGAAAGGTGTTGCAACTGTCATCATTAACAGTAAAGACTGCTATTTTCTGTTGTTTACTTTAAAATATTTCAACATAAACAGATTCATCAGTGTGTGTAAATGAATCGGAATCTGTAGCCTAGAAGCAGATAAATAACATCTAATTTATCACAATTAACAGTCCATAATCTAGACATGTCAGCTTGTATTTTAATGACTGTAATTAAAAATCCACCATCCAAAGGAGAATTCTACAGTCTTCAATTGTCACTGTCTAAAGATACACCATAAACTTTGTTAATAATAATAAAAGATGAAAAAAATTATGAAATGTATGGCGATATATGTGAGTTATTTAGATATATTGAATAGACATCTCCAACTTTGCCTGAGTGTTACATCAAAATCAGATGAACCAATGAGTTATTTTCTTTCACATAATTATTTAGGCTGACTCAGTCAATTCCTGTGTCCTATTTTTTTTCTTAGGGATTTCATTTCATGGCATCTGATTCTGAAATTAAACTAATACTCCACCTGCCTAGAATATACTTTGCATGCATTGAGCTTACAGTAAGAGTTTTTATAACTATTATTCTGTTTGTGAATAAATATTATATAAGTAATAATTATATATTGATATATAATAAACATTATATATAAAATAAATAAATATTTATTTAGTTATTTTAATTAAAATGTCTAATATATACTAGATAAAAATAAATAAATATTTATTTAGTTACTTTAATTAAAACATAAGTCCCGGTAACAAAGTTGTTGGTGAAAACATCCCTATTCTGAATTCTATTTCTGTCATTTCAGCCAGCTCAGCCTGGCTCAGAACTCTTGATGGAGAACTGATGCAGTCATTTGGAGGATGTACAACACTCTGGCCATTTAAGTTACTGGAGTTCTTGAATTGAGTCACATCTCTGCATGTGGGTGTTTCTTTAGCTGCAGTGCAGGCGGAGTACAGTCAATAGACTACTGAATGTTTTCACAGGGCTGATGCATTGTGCAGGGTCTTTATTTGAAGCTAACTTCTTGTTTTTGGTTTCAGAGGGGGGTATGTTAGTGAGGTTTTTTTGGTGTTGAAGCTTTGGGGTGTGATCCAGTAATTTGCCCTTGGGCATATTCGTCAGTTGGTAGACTCTTGCTCAGTTGTGTGGCTCCCCTATGCTTTTCCACAGTTGCAGCAATGTTTCCTCTCAATGTCCTTAAAGTGTGGGTGTTTCTCCCCTTTGGGTGTTGGCTATAGATTGTGACTCCTAGGCTGCCCACTGGAGCTCTGGGGTGATCTCCCAGTTTATGTCTCTTTCTGAACACGGGGACGGCAGAAGAAGGAAATCCAGTAATAATTGTAGCCAAGGGTTTTTGCTTGTCTCCTGGGAGCTCCACCCCAGAGACATGCACATCATCAATTTCTCAGTGCAATCATCTTAGGATGGAGGGTCTGCACTGTGGGCCCAAGACAAGGGTTCCCTATCTGGTGACGAATGGGTGGGTGGTGGGACATATGGGAGATGGACTGGTCTCCTCTCCTTGGGTCGACTGCCGTTTTTTTGGAGGTGTGGATAAGGCTCTTAGCGTCTTTGCTCCTTTGTTAGTCCAGGGGTAGCAAGGGCAGATCTGCTGCAGAGACAGTGGCAGAGAGGGTTTCAGTTGTCCCTCAGAGCTCTGTCCAGCAAGTTGCAAAGCTGCTACTGGCTCAAATGACCAAATGACTTCCTTAAACATTTCTTGTAGAGCACATCCATTAATAAAACAGTCTCTGTCACATTTTGTCTATGTGCAAGTATCTTAAACTCATCTTTATTTTGACCAGATATAGAAGTCTTTGTTGTTAGTATTTTTACCTTATTACTTTAAACATGTCATCCTACTTCCTTCTGTCCTCCATGGTTTTTTATGAGAAGTCAGCTATAAATTATTTCAAGAATTTCTTTTAACTGATGAGCACTTTTCTTTTGTTGCTTTCACGATTTTCTGTTTTTGTCTTTTGTTTGATCTATAATGTATTTCGAGGTGGATCTCTTTGAGTTCACGAAGCTTGGAGGCTGTTGAGCTTCTTTGATGTGTAAATTTTTGTCTATTATCAAGTTTCTGAAGTTTTTTTGGGTCATTATTTAGTCAATTTTTTTTTCACCCTTTTCTCAGTCTCTTTTTCTTCTGGACCTCCCATATGAGTAAATCGTTCAATTTGAAGGCACCTCACTGGTCCCTTAGTCTCTGTTCACTTTTCTTCATTCTGTTTTACTTTCTGTTCTTCAGGCTGAATTATTTCGGTTATGTTATCCTGAAGTACATTTATTCTTCCTTCTGCTTGTTGTAACATGCTGTAGAATCTCTAGAGTAAAATTTTCACTTTAATGTTAGTATGTTCAACTACAGAACTTTTATTTGTTTCCTTTTTAAATTTATTTCTCCTTATTGGTATTCTTAGTTTGTGAATATGTTGTTTTATTCTTTCTTTTACTTCCTGTGCATTGGTTTTATTTAGGTCTTTGAACATATTAAAGACAAATGATTCTTCCTGTCCCCTAGAATTTGCTATGCTTTATTGCTGTAGTGTGCAGTTGTCTATTTAGTGACTTCTCCAAACTATTTTTGTAAAGATTATAATCCACGTTGTATGTGGTTTTTGAAGTTTCTACTGAAGTCTTGATTTCTTTAGCTCGTGTTCAACTACTTTCTTGATAAAGATTTTTTTAAATACCAGGAGGTAAAACAACAAAACAAAATAATACATACCTCTCCCAGTTTTTGACAATTGTCTCTGTGCTGAGATACTCTTAGCACCTGTCCAAATGATTTATACTTATGCTTTATGTTTCATTTCCTGCTTGCATTGAACATAGAGATTAGCTAATTGTAAAAACTTAGTTTTTTAAAAAATTTTTTATTTTCTGGCAATACATCCTGTCCCAATAGAGGTACAGAATTTTAAAATCACTAGTATACACAGGTGCTTTTGAATGCCCTGATATTCCAAAGAAACTCCACAGCTTTGCCTTCCAAGCTTTACGTTGTCTGTTATATAACTCAACTATAATCTTCTGCTCCTGATCATTGTTAAGTTTTTTATTAACCTTACAATATTTTTATGAAATAACTACTGCTTTTCTACCCTAAGGGTGTTCATACTAGGTGAAACAGAGAAAAGTATCTTTAGATACTTTAGATATTTTAGATACATTAGAATTTCAGGTAGTTTCTTAACAGGTTAGAAAAGACAAACATAAAAATTGTGAACAGTTTGCTATGCTCTCTCCAGAACCTCAGACCAGGGTCCCACACCCAGAACATGGGCAGCTAAACTGATGATCTGTGAAGCCATTAATACAAGGGGATGTAAAAATGCCACAAAGCTTTCCTATCTTTTTATTATTATTTTATTTTTATTTTTATTCCATTTTTTTTTTTGAGACAGAGTCTCAATCTGTCGCCCAGGCAGGAGTACAGTGGCATCATCTCGGCTCACTGCAAGCTCCGCCTCCTGGGTTCATGCCATTCTCCTGCCTCAGCTTCCCAAGTAGCAGGCACTACAGGTGCCCGCCACCACCCCCAGCTAATTTTTTGTGTATTTAGTAGAGACGGGGTTTCACCGTCTTAGCCAGGATGGTCTCAATCTCCTGACCTCGTGATTCACCTCTCTCGGCCTCCCAAAGAGCTGGGATTGCAGGCGTGAGCCACCGTGCCCAGACTTTCCAATCATTTTTAAGCCAGCTTTTCCTTGATGTAGCATTTGCTTGGGTGTAAATATTTGACTGTTTTCAGAGTTTTGATAATGTTGGTTCTGACTGTTTCTACCTTTTTTTTAAATGTTGATGTGGAGGGGTGGGTGTTTGAAGTCACCTCCTCTGCACATTTTTCTCTTGCTATAATTTTATTATGTCTCATTTTACTAATCTAAAGTGGATCTCTAGCTATCTTTATTATTTGAATTACCATACATTTTTGAACCTTTGCATTGCCCTTACACAATGTAGTTTGTTGTATAGCTAGATATGCATCCAGAGAATAGATTGAAAGCTCTATAGTAATACTGATAGTTTCTAATTAATTACATTCTTACATATAACCTTGGTATAGTAAAGCTACAAGTAGTATTGAAGGTGGATTTAGAATTTATACCCTTATGTATGTTAGCAATTAATATAAATTTATAACATAAGATAAATATAAGCTTTAGAGAATCTGACAAAAATGATATTTATAAAATGTATATCATTGGGATACCCAAATTTCCCTACTGTCTAATCTGATCTATTTCCTCATCAAGACAAAATCAAAATAACTGGTGAATTATAGTACTAAAATTTTAAAAAATATTTTCACGTATTAAATTTTTATTTTTAATTTATGTGAAAACATAGTAGGTGTATATATTTATGGTGTACATGAGATGGTTTCACACAAGTGTGCAATACATAATCATCACATCATGGAAAGTGGGATATTTATCCCCTCAGGCATTTATCTTTTGTATTACAAACAATCCAATTACACTCTCTAAATTATTTCAAAATGTACAATTAAGTTATTATTGACTATAGTCACCCTGTTGTGCTATCAAACACTAGGTCTTATTCACCCTTTCTACCTATCTATATAGTACCTATTAAACATCCCCACATCCCCACACCCACACTACCCTTGCCAGCTTGTGGTCGCCATCCTTCTACTCACTATCACCATAAGTTCAGTTATTTTGATTTGTAAATCCTACAAATAAGTGAGAGCATGTGAGGCTTGCCTTTCTGTGCCAGGCTTATTTCTCTTAACATAATAATCTTCAATTACATCAACATTGTTGAAAATGACAGCATCTCGTTATTTTGTGGCTGATAGTACTTCAGTATCTATATGTATCATATTTTCTTTACCCATTCATCTGTTGAGGGACACGTAGCTTGCTTCTAAATCTTGCGTATTATGAATGATGCTGACACAAACGTGGGAGTGCAGATATCTCTTTGATATACTGATTTATTTTGTTTTGGATATATATTCAGGGATGAGATTGCTGGACCATGTTATAGCTATATTTTTAGTTGTTTGAGGTATCTCCAAACTGTTCTCCACAGTGGTCGTATTAATTTACATTCCCACCAATATCGTACAAGGATTCTCTTTTCACCACATCCTCACCAACATCTGTTTTTGCCTGTCTTTTGGATATAAGCCATTTTAAACGAGGTAAGATGATATCTCATTATAGTTTTTATTTAAATTTCTCTGATGATCAATGATGTTGAGCACCTTTTCATATGCCTGTTTTCCCTTTGTATGTCTTCTTATGAGAAATGTGTATTCAAATCTTTTGCCCATTTTTGATCAGAATATTAGATTTTTTTCAATAGAATTGTTTGCACTCCTTATGTGTTATAGTTATTAATCTCTCATCAGATGGGTAGTTTGCAAATATTTTCTCCGATTCTTTGGGTTGCCTCTTCTCTTTGTTGAATGTTTGCTTTGTTGTGCAGAATCTTTCTTGCTTAATGTGATCCCATTTGTCCATGTTTGCTTTGGTTGCCTGTGCTCGTGGGGTATTACTCAGGAAATCTTTGCCCAGGCCAATGTCCTGGAGAGTTTCCCCGGTGTTTTCTTGTAGTAGTTTCGTAGCTCAAGGTCTAGTATTTAAGTGTTTAATCCGTTTTGGTCTGTCTTTTGTAAATGGCAGGAGACAGTGGTCTAGTTTCATTTTTCTACACATGGATGTTCAGTTTTCCCAGCATCATTTATTAAAAGTACTTATTCCCCAGTGAGTGATCTTGGCATCTTTGTCAAAAATGACTACCCTGTCAGTGTGTGGATGTGTTTCTGTGTTCTCTATTCTATTTCATTGGTCTATGTGTTTGTTTTTATGTCAGGACCACGCTGTTTTGATTACATTATCCTTATAGTATAATTTGAAGTCGGGTAATGTGATTCCTCTGGTTTTGTTCTTTTTGCTTAGAATAGCTGTGGCCATTCTGGATCTTTTGTAGTTTCATATAAATTTTAGAGTTGCTTTTTCTATTTCTGCAAAGACGTCATCGGTACTTTGATATGGATTGCATTGACTCTGTAGATTGCTTTAGGTAGTATGGACATTTTAACAGTACTGATGCTTTTAATTCATTAACATGAGATTTGTCTTTATTTTTATTTTTGTTCCTCTTCCATTTGTTTTATCAGTGTTTTATAGTTTTCATTATAGAGGTTTTTCACTTATTTGGTCAATTTAATTCCTAGGTATTTAATTTCATGTTTAGGCATTATAAGAGGGACATTTTAAAATTTCTTTTTCACATTGTTCACTGTTGGCATGTAGAAATGCTACTAATTTCGTATGTTGATGCTGTATTCTGCAACTTTACTGAATTTGTTTTCAGTTATTATAGTTTATTGGTACAGTTTTTAGGTTTTTCAAAATATAAGAATATATCATCTGCAAACAAAGGTAATTTGACTTCTTCTTTTCCAATTTGAATGGCTTCCATTTCTTTCTCTTGTCTGATTGTCCTAGTTAAAATTTCCAACATAGTGTTGTATAACAGTGGTGACGGTGTGTATCCTTATCATATAGTAGATCTTACAGGAAAGGCTTTCAGTTTTTCCTCATTCTGTGTGGTACTAGCTGTGGTTCTGAAAAATAGGACTTTTGTTATGTTGATATGTGTTCTTTCTATACCCAGGCTTCTGAGGGTTTTTATCATATAGTGATGTTGAATTTTTATCAAATTCTTTTTCAGAATCAATTGAAATTATCAGAGGGTTTTTGTCCATCATTCTGTTTGTATGGGGTTTATCACATTGACTGGTTGTGTATGTTTATCATCCTTGTATCCCAGGGATAAATCTCACCTGGTCATGAGGAATGATTTTTTCAATATATTGTTGAATTTAGTTTGCTAGTGTTTTGTTGAGAATTTTTGCATGAATAACTATCAGTGATTTTGCCCTGCAGTTTTCTGTTTGTTTGTTTGCTTGTTTGTTGATGTATCTTTGTCTGGTTTTTTTATCAGAGCAGTACTGGCCACATAGAATGAATTTGGAAAGATTTTCTTCACCTCTGTTTTTCAGAATGGTTTGAATATGATTGATACTAGCTCTTCTTTATATGCTTAGTATAAATTAGCAGGGAAGCCATCAGATACTGGGCTTTTCTTTACTAGGATACTTTTTATTATGGCTCTGATTTTGTTACTCATTATTGGTCTGTGCAGGTTTTGTATTTTATCATGGTTCAATCTGGGTAGGTTGTATGTACCCAGGAATTTGTCCGTTTCTTCTAGATTATCTAATTTATTGGCATATGGTTGTTCATAGTAGCCATGAATAATCCTTTGAATTTCTGTAGTATCAGTTGCAATGTCTCCTTTTTTATTTCTGATTTCATTTATTCAGATCTTTGTTTTTTTCTTAATCTGGCTAAAGTTTTGCCAGTTTTGTTTTATTTCAAAAAACCATTTTTTGTCTCATTGATCTTTGTATTCTTTATTTCAGTTTCATTTATTTCTGCTTTGATATTTATTATTACTTTCCTTGTACCAATTTTGGGTTTGTTTTGCTCTTGCTTTTTTAGTTCTTTAAAGTACATTGTTAGATTGTTTATTTGAGGTTTTTTTTTATGTAGGCACTTTATTTATTTCCATCTGAGTACAGCTTTTTCTGTATCCCATAGGTTTTGATATGTTGTGTTTCCATTTTCATTTGTTTTAATAAACTTTTTATTTATTTTTTCTTCATTGACCCATTGGTCATTCAAGAGTATGTCGTTTAATTTTCTTTTTCTTTTTTTTTTTTTTTTTTGAGACGGAGTCTCACTCTGTTTCCCAGGATGGAGTGCAATAGTGCGATCTCGGCTCAATGAAAGTTCCGCCTCCTGGGTTCACGCCATTCTTATGCTTCAGCCTCCCCAGTAGCTGGGACTACAAGCACCTGCCACCACGCCCGGCTAATTTTTTTTTTTTGTATTTTTAGTAGTGACGGGGTTTCACCGTGTTAGCCAGGATGGTCTCCATCTCCTGACCTCGTGATCCGCCCACCTTGGCCTCCCAAAGTGCTGGGATTACAGGCATGAGCCACTGCGCCCGGCCTTAATTTTCATGTATTTGTATGACTTCCAAAATTCCTCTTGTTATTAATTTGTAGTTTTATTTCATTGTGGTCAAAGAAGATGCTTGGTATTATTTCAATTTTTGTAAATGTTTTAAGACTTATTTTGTGACCTAACGTATGGCCTATCCTTGAGGATAATCCTTGTGAAGAGAAGATTGTGTATTCTGTAGCTGTTGGATAAAAAGGTTCTGTAAATATCTATTAGATCTGTATTAGGGTTTTACAGAGAGACAGAACAAATAGGATACATGTATATACATAAGGGAGTTTATTAGGGAGAATTAGCTTACTAAATTACAAGGCAAAGTCTCACTACAGGCCATCTGCAAGCTGGGAAACAAGAGAGGACAGTAATGGCTCAGTTCAAGTCCAAAAGCCTTAAAACTAAGAAAGCTAACAGTGCAGCCTTCAGGCTGTGGCCGAAGGCTCAAAAGCCCTGGGGAAGCCACAGGTGCAAGTCCTGGAGTCCAAAGTCCAGAGAACCTGAAGTCTGATGTCCAAGGGAAGAAGGAGCAGAAGCAACCATTCACCACGAAAAGAAGAAAAAAATTCAGAAGATCCAGCAAGCAAAGTTATTCTACCTTTTTCAGCCTGCCTTGTTTTATCTGCACCAAATTGTGCAAATTGTGCCCAACTACATTGAAGATGTATCTTCCTCTCCCAGGACACCAACTCAAATATCAATCTCCTCTGGCAACACACTCACAGGCACACCCAGAAACAATGCTTTACCAGCCATCTAAACAACCCTCAATCCAATCAAGTTGACAGCTAATATTAACCATCACAAATCCACCCCTTGTCAACTTGGCATCCATACAGATCTCCTTAAATCATACTTACTCTTCAAATGAAAATAATAATAAGGTCATATTTGTGCCTAACATAATACAACTATCCTTTATGTAATTAAAAATGCACCAATTCTTAACTTGAATGCTGTTACATAAAATTACCAACATTTAAATGCCGATATGAAGTCAGTAAGTCTTATGTTACATGATAAAGAAATACAAAAAGAAATAAAATAAAAATATTTTCTTAGTTGAGGTATATATATGCACAAACATATTCTTAACAAAATAAGGAGGAAATACTGATGACAATTATAGTCCCCATTTCTGTAACTGGTCACATGGTCACAGCGGATACTGATAACTACCTTCTTCTGTTTCTCATTTTTTATTTCCTTTGCCTTAAGCAAGCACTTTGGCTGGTCGTGGCTTTTTATCTGGTGGAGTAACCCAGACTTTCATTCCTGGGGGCTCTGAGTCATTTGTAGTCCTGACTGGATTGGGTTGTCGTAGTTTCCCGTTGACCTGAATCACAGGGTATGGTAATACTAACAGATACCCTAAGGGTTCTCTTGTATTCCAGACATTCTCTTCCTTACCTCCATTGCAGAGTGGTAGTCTGATTTCTTCTTGATAGTTTGGGTCAATCACCCCAGCTAACACTGTAACTCCCTTAATAACCTGTTGACTTAAAGACAAGAGGAGCCCAAAGTGGTCACAGGGCAGTCTTAACTTACAGTTCAATGAAATCATTGTTGTGTCTCTCCTGGAACTAAGACCTCTAGGCCAGCAGAACACAATGTTGCAGGAAGAGGAAGCAAACATTTTGCTAGCAGATCAACGTGGAGTAATGGTGAGTGATGCCACTTCCACTTCCAGCCCTTGATTCTTGGACTCCTGAATTCTGGCTATGGGAGAAACAGTACCATATAACAGCTGCTGATTCAGAACATACATAGCCTTCTGGAGAACTCTGCCCCAACCCTGCAAAGTATTGTCACTTGGTTGGCATTGTAATTGTGACTTCAAAAGACCATTACACCATTCTTTCAAGCCAGCTGCTTCAGAATAATGGGGAGATGATAAGACTAGTGAATGCCGTAAGCATGAGCCAACTGCCACACTTCTTTGTCTGTGAAATGAGTTCCTTGGTCAGAGGTAATGCCATGTGGAATGTCATGGCAGTGGCTGAGGGATTCTGTGAGTCCACTGATGATAGTATTGGTGGAAGTATTGTATGCTGGAAAGGCAAAATTATATTCTAAGTAAATGTCTATTTCAGTAAGGACAAACAACTGCCTCTTCTATAATGAAAGAGTTCCAGTGTAACAAAGCTGCCACCACGTAGGTGGTTGACCACCCTGAGAAATGGTCCCATATCAAGTGTTCAGTATTGGTTTCTGATGTAGGTGGATTGGACACCCAGTGGTGTCCAGTAGTGTCCAGTGGTGGCATTAGAAAGGTCAGCCTTTGTAAGTAAAAGTCCATAGTACTGAGTCCACACATAACCTCCATCCCTGCCACCATGGCCACTTTATTTAGGAGCCCATTGAGTGATGGCAGAGGTGGCTGGAGAAAGAAGCTGAGTGGTGGCCACAGAATGGGCCATTTTATCCATTTGATTATTAAAATCCTCCTCTTCTGAAGTTGCCCTTTGGTGAGCATTCACATGAGACTCCTTCACGGTTTTTGACTACTCAGACAGGTCCATACACATACCTTTGACCCAAATGTCTTTGTCCCTAATTTTCCAATTACATTCTTTCTAAGTCCCTGATCATCCAGCCAAACCATTGGCTACCACCCATGAATCAGTATACTGTCACACATTAGGCCATTTCTACTTCAACTAAAGTGCACAACCAGGTGCAGTGCTCGAAGTTTTGTTAACTGGGAAAATTTCCCTTCACCACTGTCCTTCAGGGACATCCCTGAAAGGGGTTGTAGTGCTACAGCTGTTTACTTTCAGGTGGTGTCTGCATATCATGCAGAACCATCTGTAAGTCAGGTTCTAGTCTTCTCTTCTTCTATCAACTAATCATAGGAAACTCCCCATGAGGCCAAAGGTGCAAGCTGGGAGAGAGAAGGCAGAGTGGCAGGAGTGAAGACCATGGGCATTTTAGCCACTTCCTCATGTAGCTTGCTTGTGCCTTCAGGACCTGCTCAAGCCCAATTAAATATATTCTACTTCCATTTGATTGTTGAATGCTGCTTTGTACACCCAACTTTATGGCTAGATGGATCAGAAAGCACCCAGGTCATTATAGGCAATTTAGGTCAAATGACAATTTAATAATCCATAGTCAAACATCAATTTCTACCAAGGCCCAGTAGCAGGCCAAGAGCTATCTCTCTAAAGGAGACTAGTTATCTGCAGAAGATGGTAGAGCCTTACTACAAAATTCTAGAGGCCGCTTCTGTGATTCACCTATGGGGGCCTGTCAAAGGCTCCCAACAGCATTGTTATCTGTCACTGACACCTCAAACCCTATTGGATCTGCTGGGTCATATGGCTCAAGTGGCAGAGCAGCTTGCACAGCAGCCTGGACCTGTTGCTGAGCCTTCTCCTATTTTAGGCCCCACTCAAAACTATCAGCCTTCTCAAAAAATGGGCCAGAGTAACACACCTAAATGAAGAATGTGGTGCCTCCAAAATACAAATAGGCCCACTAGGCATTGTGTTTTATCATGATTTTAGGAGGGGCCAAATCCAACAACTTATTTTTTGCCATAGAAGGAATATCTCAACAGGCCCCACACCATTGAACCCTTAGAAGTTTTACTGAGCTTGAAGTCCCCTAAATTTTAGCCAAATTTGTTTTCCATCCCTTGACATGGAAATTTCACACCAATAAGTTCAGAGTGGTTTCTGCTTCTCACTCAATGGGTCCATTGGGTCCATGATGTCATCAATGTAACGGACTAGTGTAATATCTTGTAGAAGGGAAAAGCAATCAAGATCTCAGTGAACAAACTTATGACATATGGGTGGAGAGTTGATATACCCCTGAGGGAGGACTGTGAAGGTATATTGCCGGCCTTGTCAACTAAAGGCAAATTGCTTCTTGTGGGACTTAGGGACAGGGATGGAGAGAAAGTCGTTTGCCAAATCAATAACTGCATATCAGGTACCTGGAAATATGTTAATTGGCTCAAGCAATGAAGCCACATCTGGTAGAGCAACTGCAATTTGAGTCACCACTTTGTTAAACTTACCATAATTCCCTGCTATTCTCAAAGATCCATCTGTCTTCTGCATAGGCCAAATAGGAGATTTGAACAGGGATGTAGTGGGGATTACACCCCTGCATCTTTGAAGTCCTTGGTAGTGGCACTAATATATGCAATCCCTTCAGGAATGCAATATTGTTTTTGATTTACTATTTTTCCAGGTAGAGGCAGCTCTAATGGCTTCCTTTTGGTCTTTCCCACCACAGTAACCCTAACCCTTTATGTCAGAGAACCAATGTGGGGATTCTGCCAGCTGCTAAGTATGTCTATTCCAATTATGTATTTTGGCATTGGGGAAATGCCCACAGGATGTGTCCATGGATCTACTGGAGCCACTATAAGTCAGACCTGAGCTAAAATTCCATTAGTTACCTGACTTCCATAAGTCCCTAATTGTGGGTTACTTCCATAACCCACAATAATATTTTCAGTCCCCTGAAATCAATGTCAGTTCAGAGCCAGTGGCCACTAGTACTTGAAAGGTCTTCTTATTCCCCTTTCCTCCAGTGTATAGTGACCCTGGTAAAAGGATGGAAGTCTTCTTGGGGAAGGATGGGAGAATGATTAACAGTATAAATTTGTGGTAGTGTAGTGGGGTCCTTCTCAAGAAGACCTGTCCTTACCTTCACTGAAAGTGTTCTGGGTCTGTAAACTGCTCAAGCCTGGAAATTGATAGAATGGCTGTGATTCTGTTTTTATCATTCAAATTAGACTTCAGTCCACTTGACCTGAAAGTTTTCTGCTTACACAACTCAGATAAAAACACAGTAGGCTTCTCATCAATTTTCCTTCTAGGAAGGCCATGATTAATTAGCCAATGCCAGAGCTCTATATGAGTCAGACTATTCTGACTGTTGCTTTGCCTCTGCTGTTCATTATCATAAATATGCCCCCCTTGCCTTTGATAGTAGAGTGACACCACTTGGCCCCTGCTACCTAGGGATCCAATTATTTCCATTGCATTTAAGTTTTCCAGTTAAGTCACTGTGGTTCCCACTGTAAGATCTGACATACAGAGAAAATGTCACAAATGTCAAAAATTCTGGTTCTCCCCTCACAAATTTATTTTGCAAGGTATTGGTGAAGTGTATGTCTTCAGGATCCTCCCAGTTGGGGCAGTAGGTCTAAAGTTACAAATCCACTCTAACATTCTAATCTTTCTAAGTCTTTGGACCCTTTCCTCTACATTAAACCAAGGGAGATTAGGCATGTCCAGTTCACTCAAAGTGGGCAATGTTTTGATCAATTTTCAGCTAACCAAGCAAATAAACTATTAGAACCTTGTTTAACTCCCCAAACTGCAACTTTAAATGCAGAATCTCTGGTTAGTGGGCCCATATCAATAAATTCAGCCTGATCCAATTTTATGTTTCTACCACCATTCTCTCAGCCCCTTAATATCCATTTCCATAACTATTCTGTAGGTTTCTGCTTATATAAATTAGAAAACTCAGATCATTCATTTGGAGTGTAGCACACCTTCTCATGGGTCACACTGTACCTCACCACCACAGGGCTGCTGGAACTTGAATCTAGTTACAGGGGTGGTGGGAGTGGGTCCTGAAGAGAATCAGCATTGTGTTGCCTAGCAGCTGCCTCAGGGGAGGCTATTGTTCTTCGCTCATGCAATGCAGAGTTAATCTTGTCAGACAAAGGTAAAAAGGCTGATAACAGCCTGTATGAGGCAGAGGAAAATTGCCACCACAGGGGGAATGGGGGGAGGCCATTTCCTCTAGAAAAAAAAAAAAAAAAGGCTCATCAGAATTTAGAAGCTTAGTGTCCCCAGCTTCATCAGGGTCCTCCCACACATAACTATTCCAAGTTACAGGGACCCATTTTTTTCCCAATCAAAGCCGCCACTTTAAACAGTGGACATATGGCAAGGCTGAGTATGCACCTATTGTTTTAGGTCAGCCACTCAAGCTTGTGTCTGAATTTCAGCAATTTCAGCCCTTTGTCTCCAAAAAAATAAGAGTCTCACCAGGGTACCCTTAGAAGCTTTGAGGCTAAACATATGCTTTTACAGCTGGGAGATATATCCCTGAGCTCATCCTTTTATTTCATCACTTTGTCCAGCAAACTTAGGAGCAACCAATGAACTTCATTATAGTTATTGGTTCTCCACAAATGTTCAAAGATATTATGTATAGAGTGACTAAACCTGCGGCTCGGGAATGGTGAATTAGAAGTATCAAATGCATTTATTTTGCACAACTCTCTAAACAATGCACACCAAGGACTATCAGTGCTCTTGGTACTATTAAAAATAGAGTCCTTAGCATTGGTAAGTCTAATCAGATTAGAAAGCCCTCTCAAGAAACCCCAAAATGAACTAAGGAAATCCATCCTTAAAATTCTGCTTCTCTAGAACAACTTCTGGTACCAAATTCTGTATTACTCAGGGTTATCCAGAAGAACAGAACCAATAGCATATGTGTATATATGAAATTATATAGTTGTTAAGAAGAAATTATTAAGGCAGATAGTGAGGGTAAGGAAGTCCTTGGTAAGGTTTTCCTTTTAATAAAAATAGCCCCCAAATCATTTATTTTCTAACAAAGAGCAGCCTACAAAATCAAGCTGCAGACATAGGCAAGCTAGAAACTTGCACAGATGAATGCTGGCAGCTGGGCCAATAACTGGGGATAGGCATGTCCAACATGGTGGCTCCATCATCCCTACTCTTTGCCAGCCACATGTACAGTAAGGAGCCGGCAACATGGCAACAGCCAAACAAAGACTCCATTTGCATAATAAGATTAGGATGGGGGCAGCCAGTTTCCTCACGCACTTTGTAAATGTCACACCTGGTCCAACCAATCTTTGGGCCCTATGTAAATCAGCCACCACCTTGTCAAGCCTGTCTATAAAATCCGGTTCACTCTGCTGTGGGCTGGAATTCCTGTGAGGGTACCACTCTCTCTCACAGGAGAGAGAGCTGTTCTCCTTTCTCTTTCTTTTGCCTAATAAACCTCCACTCCTAAACTTACTACTCATGTGTGTCTGCATCCTTGATTCCCTTGGTGTGAGACAACGAACCTCAGGTATTTACCGCAGACAATGATTCTGCTTCACAAGGGTGTGTATTGAGAAAACTGACTCATTAAATTATAAGGCAGAGCCCCACAATAGGCCATCTCTTTTTTAAAAGAGAGAAACTGGTAATGGCTCAATCTAAATCTGAATGACTTAAAAGCAGGAAAGGTGGCAGAGCAACCTTCAGTCTGCAGCCAAAGGCTTGAGATATCTTGGGGAAGCCACTGACACAAGTCCAAGAGTTCAAAGTCCAGAGAACCTGGAGTCTCATGTTCAAGGGCAGGAGGAGCAGAAACAAGCATCTGGCATGAGAAGAAAAAAAAAGCAAGAAAACCCAGCAAGCAAGGTTATCCTAACTTTTTCTGACTACCCTGTCCTAGCACTACAGGCAACTGATTGGATGGTTCCCACCTACATTAAAGGTGGGTCTTTCTCTCCTTGTAGATCAACTCAAATCTCAACATTCTCTGGCAACACCCTCACAGATATACCCAGAAACAATACTTTATCAGCCTTCTAGAAATCCTTCAATCCTATCAAGTTGATACCTAATATTAACCATCACAAGATTCATTTTGTCTATAGTGCAGATTAAGTCTGATGTTTCTTTGTTGATTTTCTGTCTGGAAGATCTGTCCAGTGCTGAAAGTGGGAGGTGAAGTCTCCAGTTTTTATTGTATTGTCTTTAGCTCTAATAATATTTTATATATTTGGGTGCTCCAGTGTTGGGTGCATATATATTTACAATTGTTATGTGTTGGGAGCCGAAAAAGCCAAAGGGACTGTGGCCAACTCAGCATTCCACTGGAGGCTATATGATCAAACAGCAAACTGTTTATCATGAATGGCTATATGATCAAACAGCAAACTGTTTATCATGAATGCAGGATGTGAGCAAACTCACGTCTGCGCCTGCTGCCAGGAGGTTTGCTGAGGGCCATCACTCCCTGGCACCAGGCTCCTTGAAATTATCTACTGAGAAATCTAGTGCCTATTGTTCGAAGGATGCAGTCTCACAAGGCTGCTGTGAACAAAACAGCTGACTGACAATTACCCAACAATCACCCCACCTTTCTCATTATCTCTTCTACCTAATAAATTCGGAGGGCTGAAAAAGCTCAGGGCCCTTGTCCACTAGAGGCAAGGTGGCCCCTGACCCCTTCTTCCAAGTATACTCTCTTGTCTTTGTCTTTTATTCCCACATTCGCTCCCTTTGTTCAGTCCACCAGGCTACGAGTGGCACCCCAAACAGCGACAAAATCAGATGCTCTACAGTTATATCCTCTTACTTAATTCACCCCTGTATCATTATATAGTGACTTTTTTGGGTCTTTTTTTGTGGATTTTGTCTTGAAATCTATTTTTTCTGATATAAGTATAACTACTCCTGCTTTCTCAATTTTCATTAACATGGAATATATTTTTCCATTTCTTTATTTAATCTGTGTGTGTCTTTATAGGTAAAATATTTTTCTTGCAGGTCACAGGTCAATGGGTCTTCTTTATTTATCCTTTCAGCCACTCTGGCTTTTGATTGGAGAGTTTGGTTCATTTAAATCTAATCTTATTATTGATAATTAAGGACTTACCCCTGCCATTTTGTTATTTGTTTTCTGGTTGTTTTGCAGTCTTCTTTTCTTCGTTCTTTCCCTCCTGTCTTCCTTTAGTGAAAGTAATTTTTTCTGGTGATAGATTATACTTCTGGCTTTTTATTTTTATTTTTTTGTATCTGTTGTATGTTTTTTGGTTTGAGGTTACCAGGAAGCTTGCAAATAATATCTTGCAACCTATTATTTTAAGCTGATGACAACTTAGCACTCTCTAAACAAGCGAACAAACTAGCAAAAAGAAAACTAATAAAACTATGACTTAACTTTGTCCTCCTGATTTTTAACTTTTTTGTTGTTTCTATTTGTATCTTACTCTACTATGTCTTCAAAAGTTGTTGTTATTATTTTTGATTGGGTCATTGTTTAGTCTTTCCACTTAGGTTAAGAGTAACTTACATCCCACATATATAGTGTTATACTATTCTGTGTTTTTCTGTGTACTTCCTATTACCAGTGAGTTTTTTTACCTTTAGGTAATTACTTATTGCTCATTAACACCATTTTGTTTCTGATTGAAGTACTTTCTTTAGCATTTCTCATAGGACAGGTCTTCTGTTGAAATCCCTCAGCATTTGTTTGTCTGGAGAAGCCTTTATTTATCCTTCATATTTGGAAGGTATTTTTGACCAGCCCAACACAGTGGCTCATGCCTGTAATCCCAGCACTTTGGGAGGCCGAGGCGGGCAGATCGCAAGGTCAGGAGATGGAGACCATCCTGGCTGACACGGTGAAACCCAGTCTCTACTAAAAATACAAAAAATTAGCTGGGCGTGGTGACAGGTGCCTGTAGTCCCAGCTACTCAGGAGGCTGAGGCAGGAGAATGGCGTGAACCTGGGAGGCGGAGGTTGTATTGAGCGGAGATCCCGCCACTGCACTCCAGCCTGGGTGAAAGAGCAAGACTCCGTCTCAAAAAAAAAAAAAAAAAAAAAGAAAGGTATTTTTTGCCAGATATACTCTTCTAGGCTAATTCTTTTTTTTTTTTTTTTTCAGCTCTTTAAATTTATCTTGCCACACTGTCTCCTGGGTTGTAAGATTTCCACTGAAAAGTCTGCTGCCAGATGTATTGAAACTCCATTGTATAATATGTTATTTGTTTCTTTTCTCTTGCTGTTTTCAGGATGCTTTCGTTATCCTTGATCTTTGGGAGTTTGATTACTAAATGCCTTGAGATAGTCCTTTTTGGGTTAAATCTGCTTGGTGTCTATAACCTTTTTGTACTAGGGTATTGATATCTTTTTTGTAGGTTTAAGATCTTCTCTGTTATTATCCCTGTGAATACACTTTCTACCCCAATTTCTTTTTCTTCTTCTTCTTTAAGGCCAATGAGTATTAGATTTGCCCTTTTGAGGATATTTTCTAAATCCTGTCAGAATATTTTATTATTTTTTCTTCTTTTTTTGTTTCTTTTCTTCCTCTATGTATTTTAAAATAGCCTGTCTTCAAGCTCACTAATTCTTTCTTCTGCCTGATCAATTCTGTTACTAAATACCTTGATGGATTTGTCTGTATGCCAATTACATTTTTAAGCTCCAGAATTTCTGCTTGATTCTTTTTTATTATTTCAGTCTCTTTGTTAACATTGTCTGATAGACTCTGAATTCCTTTTCTGTGTTATCTTGAATTTCTTTGTGTTTTTTCAAAATAGCTATTTTGAATCCTCTGTCTGAAAGGTCACATTCTCTGTTTCTCTAGTATTGGTCTCTGTTAGCTTATTTAGTTTAATTTGTAAGGTCTTGTTTTTCTGGATTGTCTTGACACTTGTAGGTGTTCATCTGTGTCTCGGCATTGAAGAGTTAGGTACTTATGGTAGTCTTCAGAGTCTGGGCTTGCTTGCATTCATCCTTCTTGAGAAGGCTTTCTAGATACTCTAAAGCACTTGGGTGTTGTGATCTAATCTCTATTGGCTTTAGGGTCCACCTCACACCCAATAATGTTGTGGTTCTTGCAAACTCGTAGAGGTACTGCCTTGATGGTGTTGGACAAGATCTGGGACAATTCTCTGGATTACCAGGTAGAGACTATTATTCTCTCCCCTTACTTTCTCCCAAACAAACAGAGCCCCTCTCTCTGTTCTGAGCCACCTGAAGCTGGGGGCGGAGTGACGCAACCACCATTTTGGCCACTTCCATTATGACTGCACTGGATCAGACCTGAAGCCAGCACAGCACTGGCTTGCCCAAGGCCTACTGTAACCACTCCCTGGCTACCACCTATGTTAATTCAAGGTCATGTGGTTCCACAAACAACAGGTGGAAAAGCCAGTCTGGCTTGTGCCCTTTCTTTCATGGAGGTGAGTTCCCTCAGGAGCCAGGTGGGTCCAGACTAGTCAGGGACTGGAGTCAAAAATCTTAATCTTTCTGGTGTTCTGTTTACTGCAGCTAAGCTGGCACTCAAACCACAAGATGCAGCTCTTTTTACTGATCCCTCCCCATTCCAAAGGCAGAGGAGCCTTATCTTGTAGCCACTGCCACTCCAGGCAGTGAGGAGTACTGCCAGATTACCAGCCAATGTTCCCTGAAGGCCCAAGGGCTTTTCAGTCTGCTTGTGGTGAAGGCTGCCTGTCTTGGGACTCACTCTTCAGGACATTGGGCTCCTCTCCAGCACAGGGAAGGTCTAGAAATGCTGTCTAGGAACCAAGTCCCAGAATTACAGACCCCAAGAGTTTGCTTAATGCTCTACAATTCTCTGGCTGAGCTGGCACCTAAGGTGCAAGACAACATCCCTTTTACATTTCCATCTGCTTTTCTCAAGCAGAGAGGGTCTTGTCCCGTAGCCATCACAACTGGGAATATGCTGAGCCTCATCTGAAGCTAGCAAGTCTCAGAGTCTCATCCAAGGCCCTCGATGTAGTACCTGGGTGTTGTTGCTGGCTATTCATGGCCCAAACACTCTTCAGTTAGCAGGTGATGAATGCTGACAGGAGTTCTTTCCTTCAAGGCAGCAGGTTCCCTTCTGGCCCAGGGTGTGTCCAAAAGTGTGATTTGAGAGTTAGAATCTGGAAACGGTGTCTCATGACTCTGACCATTGCCCTATCTTGCTGTGGCTAAGCTGGTATGCAAGATGCAAGACAAAATCCTCTCCTCTCTTCCTTATCCTCTCCTTAAGCATAAAGAAGTTTCTTTTGGAGTTGCAAGCTGTGCAATCTGGGATTAGGAGAGGGTTGATGCCAACAATCCCTTAGCCACCCCAGCTGGTGTCTCGGTAAGTCATGTGCCACCCCCTGCCCCAGTCTACTGGCTTTGGGTCCATTTAAGCACTAGGACTCACCTAGGACTTGCAGTCCTTTTGGCCTACACTGCCTTTCAAGTTTATTTAGAGCCCCAGAGCACTGTAGCTCCAATGACAAGGCTTATAGGAACTCACATTCTGACGCTGTGATCAATGATTCCTGTCTGGCCAGAGCTGGTTTAAATGTTCCCTCTATGGGTGGGTGTCAGCTGAGTTTGATCTGGTTTTTCTTTCTGCTATAACAGGACAGCAGCAAGTTCAATGTCTCACAATTGCTCTCTGTGCTCTCCAACCCCCAGTGCATGGAAATGCTCTGTGAACCATACCTCTGCTTCTGGGGCATGAAAGGGGTTGAGGTCAGCTATTCAAGATGGTGTGTTCTACCTCCTCATTTCTTCATTAAGTGATATAAAGTTAAAACTAGGTACTGTGAGTGCCTACCTTATTTTTGGTTCTTATGAAGATGTTCTGGTGTTGTGTGTGTGTGTGTGTGTGTGTATGTGTGTGTAGATAATTTTTTTTTAATGTTAAGCTCAGTGGTACAAGTGCAGTTTTGTTACATAGGTAAACTTGTTTCATGGGGGTTTGCTGTACAGATTATTTCATCACCCAGGTATTAAGCCTAGTACCCATTATTTATTTTTCCTGATGCTCTCCCTCCTTCCCGCCTCCATGCTCTGGTAGGCCCTAGTGCCTGCTGTTTCCCTCTACATGTCCCTCTTTTCATCATTTAGCTTCCACTTATGAATGAAAACATGCAGTATTTGGTTTTCTGTTTCTGTGTTAGCTTGTTAAGGATAGTGGCCTTCAGTTTCATCCATGTCCCTGCAACATAATCTCATTCTTTTTTATGGATGCATAGTGTTCCATAGCATATATGTACCACATTTTCTTCATCCAGTCTATCATCGGTTTATAAATTGGATAATTTCGTGTCTTTGCTTTTGTGCATTTGTGTTTATATTAGAATAATTCATATTCCTTTTGGCATATACCCAGTAATTGGATTGCTAGATCAAATGGTATTTCTGCCTTTAGGTCTTTGAGGAATTGCCACATTGTCTCCCACAATGGCTGAACTAATTTACACTCTCACCAACAATGTATTAGCATTCCTTTTCTTTCACAACCTCATCAGCATCTGTTATTTTTTCACTTTTTGATAATAGCCATTCTGACTGGGATTAGATGATATCCCATTGTGGCTTTGATTTGCATTTCTCTAACGATCAGTGATATTGAGCTTTTTTCATATGATTGTTGGCCACCTGTATGTTTTCTTTTGAAAAGTGTGTTAAATTAGTGTCCTTGCAGGGAGGACGATCAGTAGAGCCTTCTATTTCACCATCTCATTTCACCTCAGACTCCAAAAGTATTTTTAATACTTTCTATTAAAATTGTGGTTAGTTGCTATTTTCTATAAAAACAAGATGATTTTAATTTTTAAAAATAGAATTGTATCTACACGTTAAAATTACTCAGAACACCCTTCATTGGATCCTCCATTTTGTTTATAATGAAATTTGTAGATTTCTTGCCTGCCTGGCTAATCTCAAATGTTTCATTTCTTGCAACTAACCATGTGCATCACAAGCTCTGTAATTTTTCACTGTTACTTTTTGCAAGTTGTATGGTTTTGTGTTTTGTACTGAAGACCTCTTGACTCAAACTGTTAACTCCATCTTTATTCTTATGACTACATATTCTTTGATTGTCAGAAGCAATGTCAAATTTCCCCTTTAGCAGGGAACAATGTCAGACTTCCCCTTCATCAGGGAATGTCTGCAGACTGAATTAACTGTCCTCTTATTTGAGCCACCATAGAATCCATTCAACTTTACGTAGCCACAGCTTATATCCTATTTATCTTATTTGTTTTTACTTATTAAATTATTAAGAGGATGGAACCTGGTACCAGACTTTCAATGTTGAATTCTGACTTTGCCACTCACTGGTTGTATAATATTTGGCAAATGATTTCTCTGTGCTTCAGTTCTCTCTGCTGTAACAGAGGGTAGTATTAGTACTTACTTTATAGACATTTTAAGGAGATTAAGTGAGCTAATCTATATTAATAGCTATTTAAATGTTATCTATAAAATAATAATACTATATATGTAAAAAATAATAACAATAGTATCATCATCATCATCAATTATCATCATTATCATTATTCTGAGAGGCCCTTGAGGACAATTACTATGTTTTCATCTCTGTAGATTTGAAAATGAATCAAAAGTCATGCACAAAATGGTTTCTCAATAAATATTCTCAAAGTGCTAAATAATTGATATTTGTCACCAAAACTCTGACCCTTTACTTACAGTCTGAATCAGTTAATGACACAACTACCAAACCTTTCCATACAATATGAATAAAAACTTGGAAGATGGTAGTAAGTGTCGTTTCTCATGAAGACAAATATTTATCTCATTGTAAATCCTGAGATTAAATCTTACTGTCCTCTCAAACTGTTTTATTTCTCTTGTCTTGAGTATCAGCCTAACCAAAGATCTCCTCATTATGTGGACTCTTGCAGTCTTTTCCATTTTGCTCTCTCTCCAATCTCATTCTAATTTGCATGCCTTCCACCCATCCATAATCTACTGGCTTCAAAATCTTTCCAACCTGCTGAAGTTTTGTGTCCCTCCTTTGCATTTCTTTTACTCCTGTTCTCTTACATTCTTTGCACTGTTAGCTTATCTGTGTATTTCTTACTAGTCTGTGGATGTTTTGAGAACAAGAGGTAGATAGATAGATGATAGATAAATAGATAGGTACATAGATAGACCTTGAAATATGTATAATTCATCTCTATTTTACCAGAATTTAGAATATGTTTGACCTAATATATGCAAAATACATGTTCATTGAAATAAATTGTCGAGAAGCAAACTAACGTCCCTCTTGATGATAAAACTGTAATTCCTGCCTCCTTATTTAAATACATATTATTGTAGAACTTAAAATCTCATGCTCGATAAGAAAACGTTTGTATATTCATTTTTATTTTCCAGTTTGCAAGGAAAATAGAAAACAGCTATTTATCTAAGTGCATTACATTATTTTCAACTGTTATTGTCTTGGTTTGGTTTTCAGCTTCAGTGTACAATTTTCGTAAAGTCAGCAACGAAATTTAATAATACAATGTACTTAATTTGGGGGGAAAAACAGTGCTTTCCTAAATACTATTTTATTATTATACCATTGGAACAGTGCCTGCCAGATAGTTTTTTGTGACCTCTATACATACAGAATATATCACTCATGAGAATAACTGCACATTTTACAAGCATTATAAGATATTTTTATAAAATGCATGGCTGCATTTTTAAATATGATCTTACAACTTTAAGACATTTATATCATATTGAACTTGACATCTCTGAGCCATCATATCATGTTTTACAGCCTTTTATTATAAAAAAAATTAATTTAACCTCTAGAATTCTGAGATGTTCTTCCTAAGTGACGAAGTAGATATATTGATAATACAAAAATATAAGCTTAACATCATGAACTTACAAGCACATATCTTAGCTAATGATAAGAAATGCATTTCATCATAAAAATGACTTTTTGTTTCTTATCTTCTTTATTTAGAAATAATACATTTAATCTAAACAAACTTTGATTTAGTTTTTTCAAACTTCTTGCCTTATATATTTTTAATATAACACTGAATCCTGAATTCTACTTAAAAATTATTTATTTTTAAAGTTTCAGCTAATGTAAGACCACTATTTCTATATTAGAAATATAAATTATAAATATAAAAAATAAGGATTCACATTTTAAAAAAGATTGTTTTTTTATTGAGGAAGATCTAAATGTCCACTATATTTTAATAGTTTAAAGGCATTAGAAAAACATTTTAAAGGCACTTCAGTTTATTTATTTGTTTCTCAGAACTCATTAGACTGTTTTTTTTTAATAAAAGCCAGTACCTGTGGCCTTTTGTCTATTTATTTTAAAGAAGCGAGTACTTGTGATCTTAGACAAACATAAATTTAAAGATGAAAAGCTTAGTTATACCATTTGTTAATCTAGTTGTTTGGTTGAAGGAAAAAAAAGATGGTAAAAGAGAACGACTTAACATGCTTCCATCATCATTTCAACCATTCAGGAATATTTTCTGAAACTTTTAAATAAAGATAAAAGACGTAATAACTTTTTATCCCTATTCTCACTTTTCATATCTAAACACTCTATAAAAAGAAAAATTGCTAAAGATAATTTATTGTAGTACACAACCATTATTACAAAAAGGAAACTATGAGTAATCTTTTAATATAGTTGTATTTAAAACAAAACAATGGAAGATATTGAGAATATGTGTATACCTCCTTAGATCTTAGCAAAATACAAATATCTCTGAACGTTTAAGACTCATGAAAAGTCCATTGACTGATTAGAGAAATTTAATCTAGGCATTTTAGTAAACTACTGGAGGATAGAAAATGTTCTTATTCGGACAACTATCTATGTCACAACAGGTAGAGAAGTTAAAGAAAAAATAATGCAAACTTGTCAACTTTATCAACTATGACATACCTCTAACTGGAAGAAAATTGCTAAAAGTAAACTGCAGCCAAAGATGAGCATTAGTATAAAGAAGTTCACAGATGATCAATAACAAATGTATATAATGGTGCAGTCACTGAAAATACAGGGGAACCCGGTGTGAGGACAGCGAACATGAGAGTATTGTTAGCAAGGTTTGGAGATGACAAAATCACAGTAAAAATACAGGATGCCCTATCTCATCTCATCCTACCTCAGTCACACTCTCAAATCCAGAAAAGATTATAAGAAAAAAAAAGAGAATAACTCATTTAAAGTTGAATAACTACCTAGTAATTGACAGATGGTCTTTGGAATATGAAAAAATGTCTATATTCGTTAGTCTCTCAAATGAGCAGTCAAAATATATATAATTCAAATAAATGTATTATTTAATAGAGATAGAACTTGGAGTGATTTTAAAATAATTTTTATACTTTTTTCATAACAATAGAAAAAGAACAGTAAAATTTCTCTCCAGATTTAAACTTGATAAAGCCATTTTCTCCCCATATAGTCTTCATTTTTGACAACTCCCTTCTGTCGTCTAAAACTCAGATCCTTCCTTCATGCTTCCCATAAGATTTTCACTGACAATCTAAGGTGCTCCCCAATCCTACCAAGTTGTTTTGCTCATGTTTCCTCTGCTCCTTTTACCCCAACACATCTCCCAAGGTTTATGCTCTCTCATACAACATTGAAAAGTAAAGAACACAGGAGAAAGACAATGAATACTTGAGAACACCCACTGTAGCCAAGGAGTTAATTAAGAAGTACATGGAAAAAGGCCTACCATCTGGAGGGGTAACAAAAAATCTTGTGAGGAACAGAAAGATTTATGAGGCCATATCCTTGAGATATAGGCCCACTGTGCACTGTAAAGCCCGAGACTTAATCAGAAGACTAAAGACCCATGTCCACAGTCTACCACCAAGTTAATAAGCATCCAGTAATAATAACAGTGGATTGTAGCTTAGAAAACTATGAGAGAGTACAAAGCAAAGTCCCAGAACTAATATGTTTTTAAATCTAGAGCTAAGAACAAGGTCACTTGAGGCATTTGAAATGTCTGACATCCATAGTTTAAGAAACATCAAACACAGTCCAACCCAACTCCAGGACATTTTAACATTCTCACACTGAAGCCCATATCTATTGATATATGCATGCATGTTTATCAATTTAAAAAACATACCAAAACAGTCTTATAAATAAAACAATCATCAGAAGCATATTTAGATATGAAACAGGAGTTAGAACTATCAGAAAAAAAATTTAAAGTAACTATGATTGATATATTAAAGGTTCTAATTGAGAATGTATAAAACATGCAACATCAAATGTAGAATATATATCTACTTAGAGATTAAAATAATACAGAATATAAAATAAATCTTTATATAAAAAACATAGTAAAAGAAAAGAAGAATGTCTTGAAAGTGCTCATCAGTAGACCCAACACAGCCAAGGAAATAATTCAGTGAACTTCAATATATCAACAGAAATTGCTAAACAGAAACACAAAGAGAAAAAATATGAAAAAATAGAAAATCTAAGAATTGTGGAACAATATCAAGCAGTGTGCATACATTTAATTGGAATACCAGATGGAAAAAAATGGAATGAGACAGAAGAAATATTTGATGTAATAATTGAAGTATTAATGACATTAACTAAGTCAGAAATTTAGGAAGTTCAGAGAACACCAAGTAGGATAAATATCAACAAAAACAACAACTAAACTAAATAAACAAGAAAAGAACATCCATACTTTTCAAACTACAGGACAAAGAGAAATTGTTGAAGCCAGCCAGAAGAGGAAAATCAAACCCACATCTTCAGAGCAACATGAATAAAAATTAAAATGAATTTCTCAGAAACCATGTAATTAAGAAGAAAGTAAAACCTAATATTTTTAAAGAAAAATAAGCCAGGCATGGTGGCTCACGCCTGTAATCCCAGCACTTTGGGAGGCTGAGATGGGCAGATCACAAGGTCAGGAGATCGAGACCACCCTGGCTAACACAGTGAAACCCTGTCTCTACTAAAAATGCAAAAAAATTAGCCGGGGGTGGTGGTGGGCACATGTAGTCCTAGCTACTTGGGAGGCTGAGGCAGGAGAATGGCCTGTACCCGGGAGGTGGAGCTTGCAGTGAGCCACGATTGTGCCACTGCACTCCAACCTGGGCAACAGAGCAACAGAGCAAGACTCTGTCTCAAAAAAAAAAAAAAAAGAAAAGAAAAAGAAAAAATCTGCTAACCCGGAATTTCTCATTCAGTGAAAATATCTACGATAAATAAAGGAGACATTCCCAGTGTGTTAAATTCTTGTTTCTGTTATAACAAATATAGTAGTTAAAACAACACACATCTATTCTCTTGCAGTTCTGAAGTTCAGAAGTCTAAAAGCAAGGTGTCAACAGGGCTACATTCCTTCTGAGGGCTTGAGGGGAAAACCCATTATTTTGCCTTTCCAGCTGTTAGACACCACCTGCATTCTTTGGCTCATGATCTATTATTTTGTGTTCAAAGCCAGCAGTTCAGTGCCTTCAATCCTCTCTGATTTCTTGTCTCCCTCTTATAAGGTCACTTAAGATTACATAGGGCCAGGCGTCCTTGGGAGACTGAAGTGGGTGGATCACCTGAGGTCAGGAGTTCATGACCAGCCTGGCCAACATGGTGAAACCCATCTCTACTAAAAATACAAAAATTAGCCGGGCATGGTGGCAGGTGCCTGTAATCCCGGCTACTCGGGAGGCTTATGTAGGAGAATTGCTTGAACCAGAGAGGTGGAGGTTGCAGTGAGTCAAGATCATGCCATTGCATTCTAACCTGGGCAACAATGATGAACCTTCATCTCAAAAAAAAAAAAAAAAAATTACATAGGGCTCACACAGATAACCCAGGATAAACCTCCCTCCCCCCATCTCAAGAACCTTAACTTAATTGCATTTGCTAAATTATTTCTCTATGCAGGGTAACATATTCACAGGTCTGGGAATTAGAACACAGACATATTTGAGAGGGACATTTTTCAGTCTACCATATTCAGCACACAAAAATTAGGAAAATGCATTGCCAGCAGACTTGACCTACAATAAACGTTAAAAGATCTTCAGGCAGAAGAGTTTTCTAGGTAACCTTAAACCAGCCCTGTTCTCCCACTGTTCTCTAATGTTGTTTTCAAGAGTAACTGTAGAATGTGTAGAAAATGCAAATGCTTTTTAATTTTTTTATTATTACTATTATACTTTAAAGTTCTGGGGTACATGTGTAGAGCATGCAGGTTTGTTACATAGCTATACATGTGCCCTGGTGTGTTGTTCCTCCCTTCAATCCGTCTCCTACATTAGGTATTTCTCCTAATGCTACCCCTCTCCTAGTCCCCCACTCCCTGATATGCCCTGGTGTGTGATGTTCTCCTCCCTGTGTCCACGTGTTCTCATTGTTCAACTCCCACTTATGAGTGAGAACATGCAGTGTTTGGTTTTCTGTTCTTGTGTTAGTTTGCTGAGAATGATGGTTTCCAGCTTCACTCATGTTCCTCCAAAGGACATGAACTCATCCTTTTTTATGACTGCGTAGTATTCCATGATGCATATGTGCTACATTTTCTTTATCCAGCCTATCATTGATGGGCATTTGGGTTGTTTCCAAGTCATTGCTATTGTGAACAGTGCTGCAATGAACATACATGTGCATGTGTCTTTCTTTTTTTTTTTTTTTTGAGATGGGGAGTTTTGCTCTTCTTGCCCAGTCTAGAGTGCAATGGTGTGATCTCAGCTCATCACAACCTCTGCCTCCCAGGTTCAAGTGATTCTCTTGCCTCAGCCTCCCGAGTAGCTGGGACTACAGCCATGCGCCACCATGCCCAGCTAATTTTTGTATTTTTAGTAGAGACAGGGTTTCGCCATGTAGGTCAGGCTGGTCTCAAAACTCCTGACCTCGTGATCCACCTGCCTCAGCCTCCAAAAGTGCTAGGATTACAGGTGTGAGCCACCACATCCGGCCATGTGTCTTTGTAGTAGAATGATTTATAATCCTTTGGGTATATACCCAGTAATGGGATTGCTGGGTAAATGGTATTTCTGGTTCTAGATCCTTGAGGAATCGCCACACTGTCTTCCACAATTGTTGAACTAATTTACATTCCCACCAACAATGTAAAAGCAAAACTCCTGAGATAAGGGGTAACTAACTTGTTGGAACAGCCTGGGCTCTGTTTCAGTCCCTTCTAGAAAAAGGATATCCTGCAGTATTTTAGCCTGAAGTGTTATGGCGTCCCTTAGGAATAGAATTCAGGGTGGGCTGCTTTTCAAGGTTCTTCAACTGCAATGCAAGTGGTGTATGCACAGGCAATATTTTATTTGCCCTGGGCAGCATTCTTGAGCCTTGAAGGACGTACTTGTCCTGAACCGTAGGCTTTTACCGTCCTTGCTCCCTGTCTGGGAGTCATGAAGTTGCTTTTCTTAACCTGTGTGAGTGTTCTATCTCAATAGTCTCATGCAAAGAATATAAATTACAGTGTAAAATTCAGTGGGCTTAAGTGGTAAGCAGTGCAAAGTGAGCCTGCTTCACAAGAAGGAAAATGATATATGTCAGAATGTTGAAGACACCTTATAAAAGAAAGAGTGTAAGAAAAGGAAAAAATAAATGAAGGTAATATGTAACCTTTTATTTTTCTTATCATTATTTCCTCTAAAAAACAAACATTTAAAAAATAGTAGTAATATTTTGGATGTTTATAACATGTAAAAATAGAATAAATGACAATATCATAAAGTATAGGAGGTGTATTTAGGACTATTCTAAAAATATCTGCATTACATAAGAAATGTTATAGCAGTATTTGAAGATGGACCTTAATTATTTCAAAATGTATGTAGTTAATTAGAGAGAAGCCACCTCATCAATAGTTACTTTAAATATAAATAATCTAAATACATGAGTTAACAGGAAAAACAAGATAGAACTTGATACTGTCCATCAGAAACTCACTTTAAATAATTAGAACTCATGTAAGTTAAAAATAAAGGGAAGAAGAAATGTACACTACTCAAAAGAAATGTGATATAGCTATATTAATTTCAGATAAGTCAGACTTTGGATCAATTATGATTACCATGGACAAAAAGGAGCATTACATATTAAATAGCAATAAAGTGTTCCATTCTCTGGGAAGATATAGCAATTAAACCACACATTACATTAGGAAAATAATTATATCATATAAAGCAAATATTTGAGAATAAAGCATATTTTTTATATTTATGAAATAGTCCTATGGAAGATATGTTGATTAATTCATTTACTTAATATTTGTTGAGAAATCTTTGTGGACTTGATAACATTGTTAAGCATACAGAAAATGTATAGTAGCATATAGGAGAAACAAAGAAATATAAACAATGAAAATGTAACTTAGTAGGCATAGTAATAATAGTGTGTCAAGATTCTTTAGGAGTATTTTTTGATCATAATTCATGACTTGCTAAATCTTCTTTTAGAGGGTGCCATACCTGTTCTACTTGATACTCGGCATCTAACATTCTGAAAAGAAAAAAATACACAAAAAAGGCTCTACATCCTAACTAGTTAATCTACTTTAATCCTTCAGTGGCTGCTCTGATCTGGGAAAATCTGTTTTTGGCCTAAGACCATCCAAAATAAAGGTTCTATCCAAGATAGTATCATATTTATCCACAGTAGGGTGATTTCTCTCTTCCTCAAATTGAGCCATAAATGCAGGTTACTCTGTTTTACTTGCCAGTAATACCTGAGAGTACAAGTGCTTATTAAAATAGAAAATAGCTTGACTGAGTAGATGTCTGGGGTCAAAATAATGTGTTTTAGTGATTCACATTTTCCTACTGCCATGCATAGGGTGTATATAATTCCTATTAAACATGACATTATACTTTTAAATAGAAATAACATTTAATATTCTAGTGTCTTTCCCAAATTTTTTAAAAAATGTTTTTATTATTTTTTAATAATTTTTGTGGATACATAGTAGGTGTATATATTTATGGGGTACATGAGCTGTTTTGATACAGACATGCAATGTGAAATAATCATGTCATGGTGGCAGAAATTTAGGTATTGTGTTCTTCCCAATTGTTGAATTACGTGACGCTAGATATTTTTACCTTCTTGTATTTGAAAAGAATATCCCAATTGACAGTATGGTAAGTCAAATTTCAATTTAGTTAATTCTATGTTAATAGGCTTTTTATTCCCTCCTGAATACTAAACTTTAGAGATTTATTGTTTCCAATACAAACATGTTTCTATTTTCCTCGGTATCATAGGCAGCCTCTAATATGGCCCCCAATCCTGGTCTCACCTAGTGTTATTTACCCTGTGCAACCTCATCTACTTCAATGTGGGCTGAATGTAGTGACTTACTTCTAAAGAATAGAATACCACAAAAGTGTTGAGATGTCACTTGACATTCTTGCAAAAAGAATGTGGCTTTTGTCTTAAGTACCTTCTTAGGCATTTCAGTGGTTCATTGTGAAAGAAGCCAGCTGCCATGTTGGGAGCTTCTCTATTGTGAAACTCCAAACTCAAAAAGCAGCCCATGAAGAACCGAGGCCCTCAGCTCAGCAACTTCTTAAGAACTGAGTCCTTAAAATAACCATATAATTGAATTTGGAATTAGATACTCTGCTCAATTGACTATACAGATGAGACTGCCACTCTGGCTAAAAGCATGAATGTAGCATTGTGAGAGACCTGTAGCGAGAGGCCCCCTACTTAGTCCTGACCCACCAAAACTGTAAGATAGTAAATATTTGTTGTTTTAAGTGACTACATTTTTGGTTATTTTGCAATGCAGCAATAGATAACTAGTATAGTCAAATGAATAACCTGGACGGGAAATCAAACATTGAGCAAACCACAGATAGGACCCATTTTACAGTGGTTAGTATGATTTTAAACTTTATGAGTATGTGAAAGTAACATATATTCAGTAGACACTGTACTTTGAGTACTCTTACAACTTTTGTCTTTCACATTCAGTGAAGTATTCAGTAAATTACATGAGATATTTGACACTTTATTATGAAATAATATTTGTGTTAGATGATTTTGCCCAACTCTAGGCTAATGTAAGTGTTCTGAGCACAAATCATGGAGGCTAGGCCAAGGTATAGTGTTCATTTAGAAGATTAGAAAATGCATTTTTGACTTACAATATTTTCAACCTAAAATGGGCTTATCAGAATGTAGCCCCATCAGAAGTTAAAGAGCATCTGATGTGGTGGAAAGCCAATAATTTTACCTACCATGGTCAGTCATGAAAAGAAAATGGTCTTTAATTTGGGTTTTATAACAGTTTTGGTAAGACTCCAAGAACTCTGATAAAATTCACACCTAACAATTAACATAATGGAACAAAGTAGATACAATAACTCCATTCATGTTTGAACTTCATGGAGTGATATAATGATTGACATAAAGAAAAAAGTGAAAAAATTCTCGGGAGTGAGTATAACTTAAAAATTTCCCTCCATATATAAAGTCACCATTTGGTCCCAGATGGGTGAAAACCAGATGTTAACTAGAATTTATCATCCTATTTAAATGTGATTCAAAACATCTGGTAGAAGTTCAAAGTTCTGTGCAAGAGTTCTGTGAATTTCCAGGGAGTTTACAGTGTCATGATTACCTCTGGCTCTGAGTTCTCTTTTAGGATCTATTGTCTGCATATATGTCATTGACTCAGACATAAATCTCAAAGTGGCCCATACAATATATTTGCATAATGAATTAAATAAAATAAATTATAGTAAAAATAGGCAGGTAGGCCAGGCATGGTGGCTCATGCCTGTAATCCCAGCACTTGGGAGGCCAAGGCAAGGCAGGAAGATCACTTGAGGTCAAAAAGACCAGCCTGGCCAAAATGACGAAATCTTGTCTCTACTAAAAATACAAAATGTTAGCTGGGCATGGTAACATGTGCCTGTGGTCCCAGCTACTCGGGAGGCTGAGGCACAAGAATCACTTGAATTCGGGAGGTGGAGGGTGCAGTGAGCTTGAACTCAGGAGGTGGAGGGTGCAGTGAGCTGAAATTGAGCCACTACACTCCAGCCTAGGTGACAGAGTGAGACTGCATCTCAAAAAAATAAATTAAAAAAGGAGGAAAAATGGGGTAATAAAATAGATATTCATGTCAAAATAATATGATTTCAAATTAAACACTAGGTATACTAATTCTTAACATGTCTCTTGGCCACACAACCACCACCTGTTATTTTGACTCATCATTTTACATAAACACCACCCACATAGAGTCTCTTTGGTTTCACTCTGTCTTTTCTTGTGGGACTTTGTTTAATTGTTCAACAATTAAACAATACCTGTTTACCATCTCAGATGTAAAAGTTAAATCAACTGAGGGGGTTGTTTATGTTTCTGATGACATTTATTTTTGTGATATCTAATAGTCTATTCCCAACGTATTTCTGAAGACTTTTTCTCAAGAAAACTTACTAATTTAAGGAGATTCTGGAGTAGTTTGAATACACATACACACACATGTCTGACTTCAGGAATGGTTTCTACACATGCTTCTATGATAAATAGTAATACTCTCTATTTCTCCACTATCAGCTTCAAAATAAATTTAAATTAATACATTTCCATTAGACAAGTTGCATAGTTCCACTAAACATTGAAGTTCAACTTTTCATGTCAACCTCTTATATCATGTGATTATTTCCTACCTATACAGAAAAAAAAAGCTGTCTTGTTATAAGAACAAAATAAAGGAAATACATGGGGCAAGAATTTGTCAGTAGAAATTTAGAGAGATATCACAGGTGAGAAGAAGAATAGATCACTCAGTGAAGAACAAGGTCATCTATTAATAAGAATATACTGAACCCTCACTTTCTGCCCAGAACTAGAATAAAAGCATCGAACAATGTTTTACTTTTATTTTAGATTCAAGGGGAAATGAAACACGTGGAAAGGGGAAAGTGGAGAAAGCTGCTTTAATGGTAGCTTAAAGAATAATACAAAAGTAAAGCCAAGCCAAGTCTAAATTTGTAAGATATTGAAAGACTAGTCAGTCATGAATGGATAAGCTCAATGATGGATAGGCTGGTAGAGGGAAATTGGAGTCTCAAATTTGTTTAGGATTATTTTCTGTCTCTATAGTTCTGGGACAAATATACTGTTTTGAAAATTTAAGTTATTATGGGTGGGATAGGCTCTGAAAGTACAAACATTATAACACAATAAGGTTGTTAATAATCAATAAATGACTATGGTGATGAAGAATTCCTTAACATAAATGAAGTAAATTTGCAAGCATATAGTAATAGTCTACTAAATTTAGAACTTTGTAGGAAATATCCAGAGGGGAAAGTTAGAAGAAAAAGGTGTGATTCTCCAATCTTGTCAATGAAAACTGAAACTTTGTGGTTATAAATCACAAGTGGCTTTAGACTTCGCAGGCATGACCGTTGTTGTTAAGAAACAGTGTTTCAGGTATGTTTAAAGAGTTCTCTTAATGCTTTCACTGCTGCTTTTATTATTAAAAAATCCAATTTGTCTGTGACATATGGGTAGCCAGAGCAGCTGCTTGCTAGCCTCACATCCATTCTACTAAGATCAAGGAGGCTTTATGGTCCAGTCTAGTGTTTGCTGCATTGAGTATGTTTCAGTCTTAAGCTCTTTGGGGAGCAAATGCAGTATGGATGAAGATGGATAATGTGCACTTTCTAAGCTCCTCCCAGCCCCTCTCTATGGACCTGTTGATATGGTTTGGCTGTGTCCCCACCCACACCTCATCTTGAATTCCCACATGTTGTGGGAGGGACCCGGAGGGAGGCAACTTAAACTTTGGGACAAATCTTTCCCATACTGTTCTCATGATAGTGAATAAGTCTCATGAGATCTGATGGTTTTAAAAATGAGAGTCTCCCTGTGCAAGCTCTGTTATCTTGTCTACTGCTATGTGAGACATACCTTTCACTTTCTGCTGTGATTGTGAGGCCTCCACAGCCATGTGGAATTGTAGGTCCATTAAACCTCTTTTGTAAATTGCACAATCTTGGGTATTTCTTTATCAGCAGCATGAAAACAGACTAATACAGAAAATTCATACAGTAGAGTGGGGCGCTGCTGAAAAGATACCCGAAAATGTGGAAGTGACATTGGAACTGGGTAACAGGCTGAGGTTGGAACAGTTTTAAGGGCTCAGAAGAAGACAAGAAAATGTGGGAAAGTGTGGTACTTCCTAGAGATTTGTTGAATGGCTTTGACCAAGGTGCTGATAGTGATGTGGACAATAAAGCCCAGGCTGAGGTGATCTCAGACAGAAATGAGGAACTTGTGGGGAACTGGAGCAAAGGTAACTCTTGTTATGTTTTAGCAAAAACAATGGCAGCATTTTGCCACTGCCCTAGAGATTTTTGGAAATTTGAACTTGAGAGAGATGATTTAGGGTGTCTGGCAGAAGAAATTTCCAAGCAGCAAAGCATAAAGATGACTTGGGTGCTGTTAAAAGCATTCAGTTTTATAAGGGAAGCAGAGCATAAAAGTTCAAAAAATTTACAGCCTGACAATATGATAGAAAGGAAAATCTCATTTTCTGAGAAAAAATTCAAGCCAGCTGCAGAAATCTGCATAACTAATGAGGAGCCCAATGTTAATCACCAAGACAATGGGGAAAATGTCCCCAGGGCATGTCAGAAGTCTTCATGGCAGCCCCTCCCATCACAGGCCTGGAGACCTAGGAGGAAAAAGTGGTTTTGTGGGCTGGACACAGGGTCCCTGTGCTGTGTGCAGCCTAGGGACTTGGTGCCTTGCACCGCAGCCACTCCAGCCCTGGCTAAAAGGGGCCAATGTAGAGCTCGGGCCACGGTTTCAGAGGGTGCAAGCCTCAAGCCTTTGCAGCTTACATGTGGTGTTGAGCCTATGAGTGCACAGAAGTCAAGAATTAATGTTTGGGAACCTCTGCCTAGATTTCAGAGGATGTAGGGAAATGCCTGTATGTCCAGGCAGAAGTTTGCTGCAGGGGTGGGGCCCTCATGGAGAACCTCTGCTAGGGCAGTGCAGAAGGGAAATGTGGGATGGGAGCCCCCACACAGAGTGCCTACTGGGGCACTGCCTGGTGGAGATATAAGAAGAAGGCCACCATCTTCCAGACCCCAGAATGGTAGATCCACTTACAGCTTGCACTGTGTGACTGGAAAAGATGTGGACACTCAACACCAGCCCATGAAGGCAGCCATGAGGGAGGCTGTACTCTGCAAAACCACAGAGGTAGAGCTGCTCAAGACCATGGGAATCCACCTCTTGCATAAGCGCGACCAGGGTGTGAGACATGGAGTTAAAGGAGATCATTTTGGAGTTTTAAGATTTGACTGCCCCACTGCATTTTGAATTTGCATGGGGCTTGTAGCCCTTCGTTTGGCCAATGTCTCCCATTCACAATGGCTATATGTACCCAATGCCTGTACCCCATTGTATCTAGGAAGTAACTAACTTGCTTTTGATTTTACAGGCTCATAGATGGAAGAGGTTTGCCTTTTCTTGGATAAGACTTTGAACTGCAGACTTTTGAGTTAATTCTGAAAGGAATTAAGACTGGGGGACTGCTGGAAAGGCATGATTGGTTTTTAAATGTAAGGACATGATATTTGGGAGAGGACAGGGGTGGCATGATATGGTTTGTCTGTGTCTCCACCCAAATCCCATCTTGAATTCCCATATGTTGTGGGAGGGACCCAGTAGGAGGCAATTGAATCAATAGGTCAGGTTTTTCCTGTGCTGTTCTCATGATAGTGAATAAGTCTCATATGATCTGATGGTTTTAAAAACGGGAGTTTTACTGCACAGGCTCTCGTCTTTTCTGCTGTCATGTGAGACATGCCTTTCACCTTCCACCAGGATTTTGAGGCCTCCATAGCCACATAGAACAGTAAGTCCGTTGAACCCCTTTCTTTGTAAATTGCCCGGTCTCAGATATGTCTTTATCAGTAGTGTGAAAACAGACTAATACACCTATCTATTGAGTGTCAGGTGTAATATGAGCAGGCTAAGAGCAAGAGAGGGGAGAGCTCCTCCTCACTCTTCATGTTCTCATCTACTGCCACAGAGCTTGAGGCTGCTTGTGTTTTGGGGTTCAGGCCTCCATGTCTTTCTTATCATCTTTTTTAGGTGCTAAAATTCTACAAACATACACACAAATACACATAATCCAAATATATATATATATAATATATATGTGTGTGTGCGTTTGTGTTTGTGTGTGTATGTATATATGATATTTACCTTGAGAATTTATAATTAAACTATTTTACCATATATTTTAGGATTATTAGGTCATTTAGACAAGTGCGCTACTTCACAGGCTCATAAAACCACCTTTACAGACAGCTTGAAATGTCCTGAATTAGAAAACATTTTGAATACTTAAATTATTAACTTTCTTAAATATCAGCAGCTGCATTTACTAAATAGAGATCTTTTTAAAATAGCTACCACTTACTGAATGCTTGCTATATCAGAGGTTTAATTATTTTTTCATCTTCTAAACTGCATAACATTAAACTGAGGCTCAATAAGGTTATTAACTAAAATTATAGTTATTTAGAGAAGTAGAATTCACAACCAGATTTATTCATTCTAAAGTCTGAAATACTTCCTCAATACCACTGAAAACAAAATAAAACAAAATAATAAATATACAGTTTATAGTTTCAGAATTCATAATCTTATAATTCTACATTAAAACATGAGGAAATATAGAGTATATAGCTAAGCTATTTACTCATTTTAAAGATGTCTGTGTTTAACTCAGAAATTGAACCAACTTCAATATGTTTAATATTCTCATTTTATTTTAATTTATATTATTTTTTATTTTTTATTATACTTTAAGTTCTGGGATACATGCGCAGAACGTGCAGGTTTGTTACATAGGTATACACGTGCCATGGTGGTTTGCTGCACCCATCAACCTGTCATCTACGTTAGATATTTCTTCTAATGCTATCCCTCCCCTATATTCCCTTTTAAAAGGACATCTGTTTGTGATGGTAGATAAGAGGATCATCCCTGAATCAAACACAAAGCCCAGAAGGCATGAGAACTAGATTACATGTACGTTTTACCCTTCCACAGTTCCCCATGGGTTGGTAGCTCAGAATAAATGGCCATACCCCTTAGATATGAAATTCATCTGACTCATTAAAATTGCTATTGCTCATCTGGCCTGGTCTACTGAATGGAATTGGTGCTAGTTTTCTTTTTGGTGGTGGTGGTGTTATTTTTCTGGGAGGGGTTGGGGATGAGTGGTAATTAGTGTCTGTACTTAGCCTGCATTTCACCTAATATTAGATTTTCAATGAAATTGGACTTTGGCTGCAAAACCATAAAAATTCAGCAGCATAAAGCATAAAATATATTCAATCTTAATTAATATAAATTATATCAGTAGAAAGATGTGTATATGCAATCAACAGCCATGTATTTTTTCAGAAAGGTACTCTTCAAATAAATCCTTACAGTTATAATATAATAAATGAGATTCCAATGCACTTTTCAAACAAAACAATTGAAACATCTATTAATTTTCTAAGCTTTATGTTTTATTTATTGAACAACAGATCTGTTATTTCTATTTCATCTGCCCTTGGAAGATTTGGGGGATATTATTATCCTTGCCTATTTCATACCCTGTGAATAAATTTTAAAATTATGAGAACAAAACAACATTAAAACTTCATTTACACTTGCTTTTAAAGTAAAAAATAATCATGATAAGAAGATAGTTAACATAACAAAATTTAACTTTTGCCGATGTTAGTGCTAGCCTTCCTTGATATAGAGTAATTATTTTCTTTATCACTATATTACCAGTCTATCATTCATTATTTCTTTTTTTTTTTTTTTTTGAGATGGAGTCTCACTCTGTCACCCAGGCTGGAGTGCAGTGGCGCGATCTGGGCTCACTGCAAGCTCCGCCTCCCAGGGTCTCGGCATTCTCCTGCCTCAGCCTCCCGAAGAGCTGGGACTACAGACACCCGCCACCATGCCCGGCTAATTTTGTTTTTTATATTTTTAGTAGAGACGGCGTTTCACCGTGTTAGCCAGGATGAACTCGATGTCCTGACCTCGTGATCCACCCGCTTCGGCCTCCCAAACTGCTGGTATTACAGGCCTGAGCCACCGCGCCCGGCCTATCATTCATCATTTGTAAAGAACACTAATTACTGGGATTTTTACTCCTAGTTTTATCACCGTTGCTAATCTTCCCTGAATTAGTAATTTATTTAAAATGTAATAATTCTGGTTTGGTATACTATACTGAAAATAAAATTTCCTAAATTCAGCTATGATGCTCAATCCTGCTGATAGGATGTCCTAGAAGAAAAAGTATCTTCTATCTAATGAATAGTCTGCAATCAAAAAGAGCTTTCCATATTTTACTTTGGCGCAATCACTAAAACCTTTTCCCATTGTAATCAGAACTATATCAGGTCTCTGTTACTCTTTTGACTTTGTTTTCTCAATGTGCATTATGTGTATCCTAATCTTGTAGGCTTTTCAGCATTCAGGGAGAGCTAATGCTAATATGTAGTTCATGCCATCTCAAAGAAAACGGTCTATAGTTTCTTTCTCGCATGCCAATCTAATTAAACAGTTACCATAGAAAAAGAAAGTGACATATGCAGCAGAGCATAGAGATGTTTACATAGCAGTTTTCAGGTGTAGAACAACACTGATTGAAGTGCTAGATTGTTTATTTACTCATTATGAAGCAGCTGGGCTCAGTTCAATGTAAAGCAAAGATAAAATTTTTGTTCAAATTACTCTTATGGGAGTTAAGTATCATTCAATAATGAGTGATGGAAGGAACAACTAAAACAATCCAGCTGCAAATTAAACAGTTCAATTATCTTGTACAATGGCTCGGACAAGACCAAATTCTAAGGTGATCTAAACAAGAAGGTGATTTTTTAGGGATCACTCATTACGTGTGGATGCTCGTGCATTTTCCCACTATGGGAGAACAGAATTATGCCCTATTGTATATGATTTATTTTAAATAAAAACTCTTATTGTAGTTGATTTATAAAGAGGTACTGATATGGCACGGGCTCTTTTTAGATGTTATTATTATTATTTTTTAATCTAAGGGGAGTAGATGCATGTTTTCCCAAATGTTTGTCTCTTTTCCTTCCATTTAATCTAAACATCACTACACTAGAGCAAATAAGTCAAGTATGGAATTAAAAATGCATAAATTGTCTAACAATGGAGTAATTCTGAAATTCAGATTAACTAGGCTTTTTCAAAATTTATTAGGGAAGGGGTAAGGGACATTCATGCTGTATGAATCCATCTCTACATATAAGATACCTAATGGGTGTCCTATAAATATTCATTGGTGATGGTGAATAAGGCTGTCTGGCCATCCGTGGAGAAGGAAGCAAACAAGAACACTGGGTGTAGCTATAGTATCACATTACTGGGTCATCAATCTCCTTTTACAATATGTTAGCAAAATGCCATGGTCCTGCTTTCCACTTCCTCTTGGATATGACAAAATACTTGCACTTAAACATTATACTTTTATGGTCTAACAACCACCTCTAGCCTTTGCACCTTTTCCTGACTTTTAATTCGTGCTGACAGTATTTGAATACGAATTTAAAATGAGTAGAACCTTCTTAGAAAAAAATGAATTAACTACACTGTAATAAACACTAAACAAAACTTAAGGCACTCCTCTAAAAGCAGTATCTGAACTGTCCTGAGTTTGCATGTTAGTTTGTTAATATTGATGCCACTTGAACTGTAATTGTGGTTATGCATTCTCGGTGTGGTTGTTCTAGAAAAGCGAAATAAGTAGAGGACATTATAGAGTAGAGAAGGTCCATCGTAAAGATAGGAATGGTATTCATCCCTTACATAGTCTAAATAGTTTTCTTTTTACACTAATATGTGCCAGTGATAACAAACTCTTTTGCAGCATATCAATATTTCTCATCTTCTTAATCAATCTGTCAATCAAACAATGAGCAACTATTTCTTCTCTGTATATCAGACACTCTACTGGTCCCTCAGGGGATACAAAGTAACATAAGATCCAATCTCCACCTTGTGAGCTGAGGAAATAAGCTATTTAAAGCTAGAAAAGGTAAAATCATTACCAAGTAACACATAACAGAAGTGACAGAAACAGAGAAGAGAGGTTTTGTCATCTAAATAAAAATGGAATTAGAGGGTAACAAACCAGAAACTTAAGACAAATGTTTCTTACAATGCTTTTAGTTTGGTTTAAGGAAACACTATTAGGAAAAAAGTGTAAAAAGTGTGAAATGGGCAAAATTCAATAGCTTTCTTCGTGTCTCGCTAGTTTCATTTTTCTTTGGTGTTCATCAAAATTCACAGGCAATCCAGGTGTAGCCAAGATGCCTTGACAAGATTTCTGAGGAAAGTGACTTTGATAATCAAGTTCAAGAGTATTCCAAGACTGGAAATTGTCCTACAGAAATGCTACTGGTGCAGCTGCTCTTTATTTAGCTGCCTGCCGTGTCTCTCGTACCTATCCTGGGTCTTCTTGGGCCTCCAGTTAATCAGCAATTCTTTATTGTGCCTTTGGTCTCTCTCTCTCTCTCTCAAGGGTAATGGTGTGGTTCTGGTATTTTTGAAATGGAAGTGGAAAATGTGGAGAGTATATTCTCAGGCTGCCCCTAGCTATTCAAGGTTACACTTGTATTTCACAAAGGCTTTGTTTTCAGTGAAATATTGTCTATTGCTCTGTGAGCCTCTCATAACAATCAGGCACAAAGATATCTTGACTGACACCTGTCTGGAGTTTCACTTAATGGATGCCTTCAGTTTTCAGATGCCTTGACTGCATTGAAATATGTAGTTTGGGTGAAAACTTTCTGAGCTTTCCTTTTCTTTTTTTTCCCCTTTGAATTGATTTATTGAAAAAATAGTTTGAAGAATGTGAAATCACAAGAGACAAAAATTGTCAAAGTGAAAGAGGAGAAAAAAATTAGAAAAAAAAAAAGCTCTGTTAGGTAGGTTCATGTGTGTACACGTTAGGGATGTCCCAGGCTTGGTGTTTTGAGCAGGTAATCTCTTTGCTGAAACTTTTAGGAAGAGCACACATTCCTCAAAGAGATTATTTATACAGTCAAGCTAACCTAAATACCAATAAGCACTAATTGAATAGGAGTAGGAATAAGTAGATTGACCTTTAAAGAAAATTACTTTACATCCTTTATAACCTTGCTAATGTAAATTCTTCATTTTTAACTATGAGTCAATTAACGGCTCATCATTTAAAAATAATAGCATCTGTTTGTTTCTGATTATTTTTGGACTTTAAAATTATTCAGTTTTTATTGTACAAAATCAGGAAAAATAGAACTAAAACATCAATAAATTAATCATTCTAAGATAATTAATTTATAAGAAAGTTATATTTCTTTTATGCATATACACATAAAATGACTGCTTTTATGTATGCAAATTTATATACATATAATTCTTCACTATTTTTACAGCGTTTTTAAAATTTAACCTATGAGTCATTCAAGAGCTCATTATGTATTCAAAATACTTCTCTCTGACGTCACACATATTTGAGTTTCAGTTTGGTTCATAATAAATAATTGTTTGACTTTCAGATATTTAAAACTTGTTGTGCTATTAAATCTGTCAATGTTTTCCTTACTGTTTCCTTCTTTTGCTTTTTTTGTTTTGTTTTGTTTTATTTATTTATTTTTAATTAATTAATTTTTAATTTTTCTGCCATAATTTGCTTTGTTTCTTCCATAGGTACATGTAACTTCCAAATGTATATGTTTTCTTATTTCACAATACATAGGTCATTTCTCACATAGCTTCCATTATTGAATTACTCTCAATTACATTTTTGGATATGGTCTTAACTACTGATTTGTAGTTTTAGAATCAAGTGTAGTTCTTAGTACCTCCAATATAGGCTCAGTTCTTACCTCTTTAGTCTTCTTATACCTTTCCTATGTCTCATATGTCTTTATTAATCTCATTTCATTCTTATGAGATTTTAGTTTCTACTTATTTCTTAACTATTTTTAGAATGTGGAGCAATTCTCAGTCATCATATTCTTCAATGCCTTAAGTAAATTGTTTTAAAAGTATAACCGTCTTCAGAAACACTTAGATATTTTTCTCATCCTCTTGTTTATATATAATTATTGTGAAAATAATTATATAGACAAGATGATTTAGAAAATATTTTCTGCTTGCTTTCACATCAATTAAGATATATATAGTTAAATGCTATATTTTCTAACATACAGGTCCACAAATTATTTTTAACTCACTCTTGACCTGGGAAATAGTTCGGATTTTTCAGATATTCGGGTCCATGACTGTGAAAGTACACATCTTTTAGCCATGAGAACTGTCCTGAGAAAATATTCTTAAATTCAGTTCAACAAACTCTATTTTTAGTAGTCATTCCTTGAAGATTCTGTTGTAAGTGGAAAATGAGAGAAGCTGAATTTCAACTAGACATTTCTTACAGCTCATCTAAGAATTTTCAGAAGTATTTGGGATGGCTACTAGTTGGTTAGATTCTGGTCACATCTTGTTCCAGCAGAACCCAAGAATAGTGAGATAGCAGGGAAAGAAATATAACAACACAATGTAAATTAGAAATAAGGACAGAGGTCCACTTTGCAAAGCAGCATTTATTCTCCTTTCTATAACAGTAGGGTGGGGTTTGCAACCAATTGTTTTTTTTTTACAATAGAAAACAAATTGTTCTTGTTTTCAAAGTATCTTTTCATTTTCTATCATAACATACAAACAGTTTAAAAAAGGAAGAGCATAAAGGATGGTACCTGTAGTTATCCTCCAGTTGTATAATTGATAAGAAAAAATAATTGAAGAACAATATTATGTGAGTAGATTAGCCATAAGCTATGGGAAATTCCAACTTTGATGTGATTTTATCTCGGGCATTTGCTCCATTCTCTTGACATAAGTTTCCCCATTAATGAAATGAGAACTTAACCGAAAATATACAAAAAATATTAATTTATATTCTTAACGTGCTTAGCTGATATAAAAATCATATTATGTAAGTAAAAATAATGTTCTTCAATGTACATAAGAACTTTAAGGTACTTTAATTCCCGATGGAGAAATGTCTCAAAAGTTACTGAGGCTTAAAACTTTGGATTTCAAATATGGCAGCTCTCTGTGAGCAATAAGGTGTCTACTAATACAAAATGAAAGTTATTAATGACTAAAAAGTATCCCTGAGTCAAGCATTGATTCCAGTCAAACTTAGATTTTGAAGATTTATTTCTTATAAAAAGAAATAAAATTAACCAAAATAACCAAATATAAAGAAATAAAACTAAGCAGATTGACCTAACCAAAATATACAATTTGATTCACATCTTAACAGATATCTGTATCTTCAACTTTTTAAAATCACTTTTACCAAATTATATCAGAGAAATGTTCAGACATTTAACTTGATAATAATCCTACAAGACATTTTAAAAACACGAAGGCTACCATTAGATATTATAGATAGTAGTGTTGTGGTTGAAGGCATTCTTTCTAATTTTTTAAAATTTTATTTTATTTAGATTCAGGGAGTACATGTGCAGGTTTGTTATATGGGTATATTGTATAAGGTTGGGGTTTGAGATTCTCTTGAATCCGTCACCCAATAAGTGAAAATACTATCCAATGGGTAGTTTTTCAACCCTTGCCTCTCTCTCTCTCCCTTCCTCCTTTTGGAGTACCCAGTGTCAATTATTTCTATTTTTATGTCCATGTGTAGCAGTTGTTTAGCTCCAACTTTTAAGTGAGAACACATGGTATTTGGTTTTCTGTTTCTGCATTAATTCACTTAGGATAATAACGTCCAGCTGCATCCATGTTGAAGGCATTCTTGTTTGATCTACTCCTTGTCACCTTTGATGTGAAACAGTGCTACTTAAATGTTGCAGGTTTATTCAATATTTTTATTCACTGAAGCTATACCCAAGAACTTAAGAAGCAATGCATAACTCAGTTTTATATGCTATCTCTGGATCTATGGGGAACTCTTTAAACTCAATAAGCTGTGACTCTGACTGAATATCCAGTATTAGGAATCAGTATATGTCAGTGGTAATCACCCTAAAAGTTACAATGAAAGCTGAGTAGAGAAATATATATATACCTCTAGCTCTAAATTCTTTTATAAATTTATGTATTTGGGGCCCATATACATATATGGCTAAGGTAAAAGTGTGTTTATCACCAAGTCAAAAGCAAACAGAAATCAGTTCAAAATAATAGGAAAGTCAAGTCACTGGGATGTCTATGACCTCAGTTTGGAGGCAATGTCATCAGTATAAATTCTACAGCATTTAATTACTAACAGTGTGAAAAATCACAATTAATGTCTCTTATTATGATTACAACAAAATTTTGTGCATTACATTAATGTTTACAAGTTACAAATCGATTTTGTTATAGTCTTCATCCATGGATAATTCTATGGGACTCAGAAAATCAAATGACATAACCAATGTCACATTGACTTAAGCAACATCACATCTCAGTTGTAACTCAAACATAGCTTTCACATTAAATTCATGTATATTTTATTTTTGTATGCCTTCTACTCAATGGAAAGATCATGGAATCAATAATCAGTTAACCAGGTTGTAGTTTTGGATATGGCACTGTGTTTTGAACAAGCCATTTAAGTTATTTTAATGGTATTAAAATAATTAAAGAAACTTATAGATACTTTATCATTACTATAATTCATTCATCTTAGTGTATAGTAACTCATCTATGCTTGTTGACACAGAATTCTGCCCAGGTTAGAGATAGGGAAGCGAATTATAGATAAATTAGTCTACAGGTATAGAAAATAAAATGAGCATAAAAAGTCTTCATCAGGGATAAACGTAATTTCTTTACTAGCTATGCGTTTTTAGAATAGGAGCAATCTGATCAGATGTAGAGAAATCAGAGAAGGCCTTTTAAAGAAATAATAAGAAATAACACCAGATAGAGATAAACTACTGTAATGTAAGCTGCATAAAGAAACAGCCAGGAGCAATGCTGGAACATAGTTGGCGCTAAATATGTGTGGAATACATAATTAGGTGACAATAACAACAACAACAACAACAACAACAAAAACCCTGCAGACTTAGTTAACTCTTTCTTCAGTCTGAAACAAAAACAAGTCGTTACTTGGATTTTATTCCAGTTTTTATAGCATAATAACGTTGGCAGCTTTAGATATATGCACATACATTAACACACATGAACATATTCACAAATGTGCATATGCATATACACCTACACAGAATATGTTTAATTTCTTGGAATATATCTTAGAACCACATCACAAACAAGTAGGCGGAAACAACAAAATATGAATTATTCTAAGAAGCAAGAGCCCAATTGGGGGCCCTTATTCTATCTCTTGAAATTTTCCACTAATAGAAACTTTCCTTGTCAAGAGAGAGATTGTCAAATCCACACTAGGTTTATAAAATCTGAGATAAAATAAAATTTATAGAAAGATGAAAACGTGTAATTTCCTCTTATGCTCATAAATTTTCAACATTACTTCTTAAAAAAAATCATGTTTTTCTGCTAGACTTGTACAATTCTAGCTAAGAGCCTGCTGTGTAGAGCATGTCAAAATCTTTTGAGCTAATAACTGCATCTGACTTGATAAACAGAGCTGTACTATTTTTTTTCCGTGAATATTATGCATTTGCCCAATTTTACATTTTTTAATGAAATGTCCAAGGCCTATTATTTCAGAAAAACATACATTCACTTTATTTTACCAAAATATTTTTTTAAATCCATCCTCAAATTCTTTGTGTTAGTCTAAAAATAGTTTACTTACATAGCTAAATACACAAAGATAATAGCATATAGGAAGAACATTGTTCTTTCAAGTACTGTGTTTCTCATCTGATTAGTTAGCAATTTGTACAATTACACTTAAATGGATGCAATGCTGATATCACTGCTTATTTTACTGCAGTAGTAAAACAGGTACAGTGCTATCTGCCCTGCTTGTTTATAATATTACCATAAACAATTTTGTGTGCACTCTATTTCAATTTCTCAGCTTGATTAGCTAACAATCTTCACTAAAACATTCAAGGTAAAATGGAAAGCTAATTGCATAGAGATTTTTAAGCTCATTTGCACACAACAGCATTTGTTAGTACCAATGAAGGTAAAAAACAGTATGACTTCTCTCCTAGCTTCACTAATTCCCTCTGCTAATTCAAAATGTCCACATAGAAACCAAATGAGGTAGAACATAAAAATAGTATTTTTGGTAAGGGCAGTATTTGAAAAGAAGAAAATGTTTCTTGGGTCTATGTACAGGTGATGAATCACTTTTATTCTATTATATTGTGCAAATTTTAGAATGTTCCATCTAATGATGTAAAGAAAGCTAAAGATTCTTTATAGAAATGGTTTTCATTCATTGCATTCTCCTGCAATTTTCTGTTAGGTATCTCTTTTTCACTCCTAGCAACTGAATGATATCAATTATGGGATTATAAAGAAGGAATCTAGGTGATAAAAGGCTCAAAATATATAACACAGAGAACTGGTATAAAAATTTTTCTTCCTAGAATGGTAAATAGAAAAGTTTAATAAAGAGTGTAAAGCCAGGTCAAAATGGGATTCTCTTAATTTTTAAAAGCATCAAAAATGATTATAAAATATAATATTTTAGCACAGTTAAAGTACTGTTGAATTATAAACTTTGAAAGATAGCAGTCATAAATATATATGGACTTAGAGGTCAATAAATTCAAAGTACTTTTTTTAAAAATAATAATTTTCTGGTAAAAAGTCCATAAAAGGAGGTGTTATGGTTTGGATCTATGTTCCCACCAAATCTCATGTAAAATTATAATCTCTAGTGCTGCAGGTAGGGCCCGGTGGGAGATGATTGGATCATAGAGGTAGAGTTCTCATGAATGGGTTAGCACTATCCTCTAGGCTCTGTTGTCATGAGAATGGGAACATAAATGATTTATCATAAGATCTGGTTGTTTCAAAAGTGTGTAGCACCTCCCCCATCTCTCTTGCTCGCTCCTGTTCTGGCCATGTAAGACATTCCTGCTTTCCCTTCACCTTCCACCATGATTCTGTTTCCTGAGGTCTCTCTAGAAGCTGAGCCAATGCCAGCATCATGCCCCCTGTACAGCCTGTCAAACCATGAGCTAATTAAATCCCTTTTCTTTATAAATTACCCAGACTCAGGTATTTATTTATAGCAGTGTGAGAACAGCCTAATATAAAGAGGTCTGAAACTTTTGTTAATGATCTAGTTAAAAGCCAAAAAAAAAAAAAAAAAAAGAAAAATGCTGGTGTTCATTCTTAGTCTGATATGGAATTAATAATTGTATTGTTTTTAAAATGAAAATGTTCACACCAGTCAGAATGGCAATTATTCAAAAATCAGAAAAATAAAGATCCTGGTGAGGCTGTGGAGAAGAGGGAATGTTTATACATTGTTGGTGGGAATGTAAATTAGTTCAGCCACTGTGGAAAGCAGTTTGGAAGTTTTTCAAAAAACCCTAAAAATAGAAACTACCATTCTACTCAGGCATCTCATTACTGGGTATATATTCAAAGGAAAATCAATGGTTCTACACAAAAGACACCAATGTTCATTGCAGCACTACTCACAATAGTAAAGAGATGGAATCAAACTTAGTTCCCATGAATGGTGGATTAGATAAAGATACCGCGGTACATATACACTATGGAATACTTTGCAGCCATAAAAAGAAAAAAATCCTGTCCTTTGCAGCAACATAGATGCAGCTGGAAGCCATTACTCTAAGCAAATTAACATAGAAACAGAAAACTGAATATTTCATGTACTCACTTACAAGAGGGAGCTAAATCTTGGTTATCTTGGGTACACATGGCCATAAAGATGGGAAAAATAGACACTAGGGACTACAAAAGAAGGGAAAGAGTTGAAGCAAGGGCTGAAAAACTAACTATTGGGTGCTATGTTCACTATCTGTGTGATGAGATCAATAAAACCCCAACTTCAACATCATACAATATACCCTTGTAACAAACCTGCACGTGTATCCACTGAATCTAAAATAAAAAGTGTGAAATTTTACCTAGTTCGTTTGGTTAGAGGCAAAAATAACGCTTTTCTCCTCACCATGGTCCTACAAATACTTTCTCTGTATCCACTTTCCCCTTTCTGTAGATCAAGTCTCAGTCTTTTATCATTTTTTTTGGAATAAATAAATTGCTTCCTCCTAGATATATCTAAAAAGATCCAGTCCAGCATAGCATCAAATCTTCAGACTTTTCTTCAACTTAATCCTTCCCTGGGCCCCAGTTCTAGTCCTCTTTAGCACTGCATGCTTGCAGGTGGGGTAGGTGCTATGAGCCCTTCTCTCTCTCTCTCTTTTTTGTTTTTCAATCTCCTCCACTAAGGAGCTGCAATATTGGTCCTGCCGATTCTGAAGCAGTGGTTGGAGGGCAAAGAAATAAGAAGCCATGAAGTTTTATTTGAATTGAAGCTATGTAATCTGTGTTTGGCTGCCTCTGTGTGTGAGTGATTCCAGTATATAATTTAATACAGTCTTGAGGCAAGAGCAGATATGTTGCTTAGATGACTTTTTTTTTCTATTCCCTGGCTGCTCTCATCTATACTTCTTTGAAGTAAACCATGCCTCCTCTGACCTCTCATGCATATTATCTCTGCTAACTGGTTTCAGATATCCCTCTTTGATTCACCCTTTCCCTTACACTGTCCTCTTGTGCAGTGTTCCAGTCAAGTTTGCCCCATCTACCTGCCTTCCAGGAAATACAACATACCCATATTCTTTATGCTTGCAACCATGCACTGTCTTTTATTTTGAAAGCAAAAGCATTGACAAACAGTCCTCTTTACTTTGGTATTTAGTAGTGGCTTGTGAAGTGCTGGCTCTAAACTTCAGACTTTTCAGGATGTGTCAGAAACCAGTCCCTCATACTTCAGGGACTATACATCGAGTTCTCCAGGTGATTTTTTTGCACTCTTGGGAGAATTATCTATGCACACCCTTCACCACCAGCATGCAAGCCCCCAAATATCTTCCTCCAAAGAAGAAACTTCTCTAGGCTCCTCAGCTGCCCAACTAATAATTTGCCTTCTCTTAAGTAGCTTCCAAGTCACTGATGAGTTAATGCTGGCTAAACCAATTTCACAATTGTTTATCAAGACTTACATGCACATTCTAGCATATCATATCAGAATCTGGAGTACCTGGTTCCTACTGTATTATACTTAATCTTTGAAATTCAGCCATAACCATATGGAACATAAGAAAGGTTATATTGTTGCATCTCTCTCTCTCTCTCTCTCTTTCTCTCTCTCTCACACACACATTGACAAAAGGGATTCAGTTTATTCATTATTAGGTTCTTGAGCATTTGTAACTTTACACAGAAAGGCAATAGGGGAAGAATTGTCATCTACTACTATTGATTTATATTTCAAAATTATTAATTGGTTTCACAATTTATTTCAAATTTCATATAAGGGGGCCTGCTGCATTAATTTGTTCTGTAAAGTGCTAAAAACTCTAGCTTCTCTTCATATATCCCAACATAATCACACATAAAATATGCCAATTTAAAATATAACACAGGCACAGTGGTTCATGCCTGTAATAGTAGCACTTTGGGAGGTCAAGGAGGGAGAATCACTTGAGGTCAAGAGTTTGAGACCAGCCTGGCCAATATAGAGAGACCTCATCTCTATAAAAATAAAAATAAAGAAATTAGTCAGGTATGGTGGCATGCAACTGTAGTCTCAGATACTTGGGAGGCTAAGGCTGGAGGATTGCTTAAACCCAGGAGTTTGAGGTTGCAGTGAGCTATTATCATGCCCCTATACTCCAGGCTGGCAATAGAGAGAGACTCTGTCTCTAAAACACAAACAAATAGATAAATATATACTACATAACTTACTCATAAATTAGCGAATCACACAATTGTTCTCTCTGGATGGTTACTGAAAGTCTAGTGTTAGAAGGGAAGTTAGATTTTTGAGGGTGCTAAGATGATTTTACAATGTAAAATTCCTGCTCTGGCAATCACCCTTCCCCCTTTTCTTTTCTTTCTTTTTATTATTATTATTATACTTTAAGTTTTAGGGTACATGTGCACATTGTGCAGGTTAGTTACATATGTATACATGTGCCACGCTGGTGTGCTGCACCCATTAACTCGTCATTTAGCATTAGGTATATATCCTAATGCTATCCCTCCCCCCTCCCCCCACCCCACAACAGTCCCCAGAGTGTGATGTTCCCCTTCCTGTGTCCATGTGTTCTCATTGTTCAATTCCCATCTATGAGTGACAATATGCGGTGTTTGGTTTTTTGTCCTTGCGATAGTTTACTGAGAATGATGATTTCCAATTTCATCCATGTCCCTACAAAGGACATGAACTCATCATTTTTGATGGCTGCATAGTATTCCATGGTGTATATGTGCCACATTTTCTTAATCCAGTCTATCATTGTTGGACATTTGGGTTGGTTCCAAGTCTTTGCTATTGTGAATATTGCCGCAATAAACATACGTGTGCATGTGTCTTTATAGCAGCATGATTTAGAGTCCTTTGGGTATATACCCAGTAATGGGATGGCTGGGTCAAATGGTATTTCTAGTTCTAGATCCCTGAGAATCGCCACACTGACTTCCACAATGGTTGAACGAGTTTACAGTCCCACCAACAGTGTGAAAGTGTTCCTATTTCTCCACATCCTCTCCAGCACCTGTTGTTTCCTGACTTTTTAATGATTGCCATTCTAACTGGTGTGAGATGGTATCTCATTGTGGTTTTGATTTGCATTTCTCTGATGGCCAGTGATGGTGAGCATTTTTTCATGTGTCTTTTGGCTACATAAATGTCTTCTTTTGAGAAGTGTCTGTTCATATCCTTCACCCACTTTTTGATGGAGTTGTTTGTTTTTTTCTTGTAAATTTGTAATTTTCTTACAATTTTTCAAATAAGTCATCTCCAAGAAATAAAACCTCTAATGGTAATTAAAGCCCTACTTCACTAGGTGCTGCACAATTTGAAGTTCATAACACCACATTCAGAGCCACATTTGGCTTGGGTTGAAGTTCTACTGGCCCTAATCCAAACCTTGAAAATAATGTTTAAGTATACCTATTGGGACCATATACACACACATCCACACAGTACATTCACTACATTAACTCTTATAGGATTGGTTATTCTACCATAACAAACATCCACACAATCTGAGTAACTTAATACAAGAGGCGTACTTCTTGTTTATGCTACATTTCCAATGCGCATCAGTATGGTCATTGCCAACACTCAGGCATTCAAGACAGGAACAATAGAATATAGAAAATTGCATATTGTCTCCTAATTCCCAGAACACAACATACACTTCTCAGACTCAATTTCATTAGCTAAAGCAAATACTATACCTAGACTTAACTTCAAAGGGAGTAGAAACATATACAAGTCTACCTGCCCCTAAATGGAGAAGAGGATCAAAATATTTGGAAACATCCCAAATGACTTACACAAGTCCATTAACCAAAAAAGTTACAAGGACTTAAAGAGACAGACTAATGCAATCATGCTTTCAAAGCAGGATTCCCTAAACTTCTGGCCAACGTCCTTGGCCTGTTAGAAACTGGGCCACACCGGCAGGAGGTAAGCCATGGGCAAGTGAGCATTACCACCTGAGCTCTGCCTACTGTCAGATCAGCAGCAGCTTTGGATTCTGCCTGAAGCACCAAACCTATTGTGATTGTGCATGTGAGGGATCTGGGTCGTGCTCTCCTTATGAGACACTAATGCTCGATCATCTGAGGTGGGATAGTTTCGTCTTGAAACCATCCCTACACCCCTCTCAAATTGTCTTCCGTGAAACTCGTCCCTGGTGCCAACAAGGTTGAGGACTGCTGTTTTAAGGAATAGCAACTGCACTCATCACCAGAGCATGGTCTAATGTAGCAGTTTTCAATACATGGTCCATGGACTGTTGGGTTTCTCAAACACTCGAAACATTTTCATGATAATATTGGGATGTTCCTTGCCTTTTTCACTCCTCTTCTCTCACTAGTTTATGGTGGGAATTTCCACAAGCCACATGCCATGTCATATTTGCAACAGAGTTTATCCAGCTCCTCTCTATGAAACCAGGAATTTTTTTAAAAAGATTTAAAATGTAAAACAATGCCATTCCTCATTAAATTTTTGTCTGCAAAATATAGCCATTGTTTGCGAAAATGCATTGTTTAACATATAATGAATTTATCTTTTTAATTAATTAATAAATACTTGACTTGCAACAATTTAGAACACCTCCAAGGGTAATTCTAACTTTAGACTTCCTCATGGGATCAGCTGAGACCTTTGTCATTACTGCATAATAGTTAAATTTCTTCCTCTTCCTGGTCTTCCTTCCTTTAATACCCCATAGTTGTTGTTTCTAAGAGCACTCTCCAGTAAACTTCTTGTATACAAATCTGTGTCTTAGTACCTGTTTACACAGAGAATCCATGTAAGATAGTTGGTACAAGGAGTGATCCAAAGAAGCAGATACAAAAACTTAATTTTAGAGCTCTGTTACCCTCTGGCCAGCGGACAGGGAGGGTCCCATCACTGGTGGTAAATGAAGCACTGATAACACCTGTTAAGTGGTAATAGTGCATTTTAACACTTTCACTAATGATGAATTGGGACGGAATGCCAAGAATGCACTGATGGGTCCTGTGTAGCAGATATTTAGAAAGTGTGGTGTAAATAATAGCATGAGAATTGTTGATTTAAATGGCTCTTTCTAGGACTGATTAATGATATGGAAAGAGACTAAGAGTGATCAATCACCAACTAAAGGTAAACAGTGAAAGCAAGAGGGGGGCCTTAGAGCATGCGGAAATGATCAATTTCTCAATTAGGAAGCCAGGAAAAGCTGATGATCAGTCCAGTGCACAATCATAAGAGTAGAAGAGCTCTGGAAGAGGTCAAATTGTATAGTCCATAGCTTGTTATCTTAATGTTAGGGTCCCAGAAGGAAGAAGTGGGATCCTCAGAGATGATACACCCAAAGACCTTAAATCCTCAGTTTTTCCTTAACTGTCTTCAAGTAACCTAATTGCAGCTGTTGTGATAGATGTAGTATCATTATTATAGTAGATTAACATTATCACAGGAACCTGACATGTGGTCATTGAGTTGACAAAAACATTCCTTTTACTCCTATCAGAAAGGAGGATTAGCAACATTTTACATTAATTTGGAATGGGCTACATTGTACATTTATAATCTTGCTATATTAACTTTTCTACCCTCTGTTATAGTATAGTCTCTAGCAACCTGGATCATAGCAATATTTTATTTCACAGATAATATATTCTTCCACACTAAAAATATTAATAGGAACAGCTGGGCAAGAAGTTGAACAAACTGTAAAAGAGTAAGTTGAAAAATTAGAGCTCATAAAAATTAAAAATGTCTACTCTTCAAAAGTCAATGTCGAAAGAATGAAAAGACAAGCTACCAATTGGGAGAAAATATTTATAAATCTCACACACACACACACACACACACATATGTGTGTGATTTATAAATATTTATATTTATATTATATATATATATAATAAGGGACTTGTATCTAGAATACATAAGGAACTCAACGTCAATAATGAGGTAAACTGAATTTTTTTTAAAAAATTGACAAACATCTGATTACTTAACCAAAGAAGATATAGGGTATGGGACATAAGCACCATGAAAAGGTATTCAACATCATTAGTAAATAGAAAAAGACAAATTGAAACCACAGTGAGATATCACTACACACCGATAGCTAGAATGGCTAAAACAATAACATTAACCATTCCAAGTGTTGAAAAATAACGTGAGAGAACTGGAATTTGTATGCACTGCTGGTGGGGATACAGAATGATATAACTACTTCAGAAACAGCTTGGATGTTTTGTAGCAGGACGAGCCACAGACAAGAACCCCTCAGACACCCTGTTGTTGAAGGAAAGGGCTTTATTCAGCTGGGAGCATCGGCGGACTCACGTCTCCAAAAACCGAGCTCCCCGAGTGAGCAATTCCTGTCCCTTCTAAGGGCTTACAACTCTAAGGAGGTCCATGTGAGAGGGTCATGATCGATTGAGCAAGCAGCGGGTACGTGACTGGGGGCTGCATGTACAGGTAATCAGCATGGAACAGAATAGGACAGGGATTTTCACGATGCTTTTCCATACAATGTCTGGAATCTATACATAACACAAGCAGTTAGGTCAGGGGTTGATTTTTAACTACCAGGCCCAGGGCGCGGTGCTCGGCTATCTGCCTGTGGATTCCATTTCTGCCTTCTGGTTTTTACTGCTTCTTTCTTTGGAGGCAGAAATTGGGCATAAGACAATATGAGGCATGGTCTCCTCCCTTAGTTTCTTCAATAAAACATACAACCATGATATTGTTGTACCCAGGCGAGTTAAGGAAATGCCACACTTTGAGATGAATTAAGAATCCTTTATTAATTAAGCCGGTTGCCAAAGAGAGAGCTAATGCTCAAAATTCTCTCTGCCACGAGGAAGGGGCTCGATTAACTTTTATACCTAGGTTTAGGAAGGGGAGGGGGACTCAAATGTAATAATTCTACAGAAGTAAAAACATGCAAGAATCAAAAGAAGCAAAATGGTTACAGAGTGATAAACAACTTAAAAGACAAATGGTTACAAGAAGAGCAACGGTACCAGGTGCAAGGTTCTAAATCTTTCATTAAAATTAGATATAGGGTCTATGCCGGACATGAACTCAACGTTTTATGTTGTTATCTCTTGGAGAAAAATCCTGGGAACTTCATACATTGTTGGTGTTAGTACCTTATCAGTTAATTGGGCTCCTTTGAAATGCTGAGGATCTGTTTACCCAGGCCAACTCCTTACAAAAGGGGGTTGAGTGAGGAGCCCTTAGTGTCTTGTAAATTAAGGGGTCAATTGGAGTTTGTCAGGCCTTCCTAGCTAGAGTCATATTTACATGAGAAGCAAGGCTAGGTGATTAAAGAGACAAGCAGGACAAAATTCAAAGTAACGAGTTAAAGTAAAAACAAGGTTAGGCATTTCAATATAATACAGGAAGTTTACATCTGGGTGTTTATTGAAGGAAATTGAAAGTATATGTCAATACAAAATATACATATAGGGACCTTGTTATGTCCCTATACGTATACTTTGTAAGGAAATATATGTCTATATGTTGTGGACATATGTTCACCACAGCTTTTTGTATTAGTATTAGTGAAAAAAAGGAAACAGCTCAAATGTCTGCCAACAGGAGAATGGATAAACAAACTGTGGTATGTGCAAAAAGTGGAATACAACTCATCCATACAAAGGAATAAACTATTGAAACACACAACAGCATAGATGAACTCAAGGTAATTATGCTGGACAAAAAGAGTACATTTTGTGCAATTCCATTTAGAATATTTAGAAATTGAAAACTAATATATAGTAACAGAGGCAGATTAGTTGTTGCCGGGTGAATGGGCAGGAGCCAAGGCAAGCGGTGAGAGGTGGAGGGAAAGACAATGGAAACCTTCAGGGGTGGTGGATATGTTCATTATCTTCTTTCTGTGAACCTCTGTGGATGCATAGGTATGTCAAAACTTATTTAATTGTATACTTTAAATACGTGCAGTTTGTGGTATGTCAATTACAGCTCGATAAAACTGTTAAAATATTGTCATCATTCATGCTGACTTTTAATGACAATGTAAACTTACAGCTAAAAAATTAAGATTTCAAATCACTTATGTCATTGTGTCTTCATTAAAAAAACAACATAATTTTTACTCAATTAGGAATGTTTCTCTTCTGGGACAAAATTCTCAACGGAAAGTTTTTATATACTGCATACAATTAAACAATTATCAAAGAATAGTGTATATTTATCATTTATTGAGGACTAACTCCATGCAAAACACAGTGTATATCTGATGAGCAACATTTCACCAATCCTCCTAACAACCTAAGGAGATAGGCATTATTATCATCTCCATCCTCATAGTTTAAAAATACTGAAGCATGGAGCACTATCTTGCTTGCAGTGTCTCACCCAGCAACAGAAGAGCTAGGATTCAAACCTAGATCTGACTCCAGAGAGGTGACTACCCCCACTACACTATGTAATACAGTAGAGGCAAAAGAATCATTCAGCGATTCTCAGTTTTCAGGGAGTTATTTTGAAATCAGCAACTATGCCTTCACACACATTCATACACACAAAATCAATAAACTTCACTCCCACCAACTTTTTAAAAATTCATGGACTCATTAATAATTTTTCCCTAGTGGGTCTTTAAGTGCTCTTCAGTGTTTATTGAAGCCATGTGCTTCACTTAAAATTATATGAGGCAGTACTACACAGCAGTTAAGAGTTTAGGAGCTAGTTTTCCAACTACAAGTTCAAATAGATTGGAAAAACGGATCTGAGATTTCTCTATCTACTCTGGAAGACTCCCACTCGTGAGCACACATCCACTTCATTTCTGGCTGTGAATTTCACTTTATTTCATAAACCATGCCATCATTATAATAGAATATTCAGGAAACAAATCATGTTATACCTATCAATCTGTCAAACTACTAAAGTGTTTTATTTTTCAATTTTACCCCTCTAAATTTTATATTTTAGCTCTATGTTCTGGCTTCTTCTGGACTTAATTCTGCATACCTTCTGATGGATAAAGCATACAATTACTTTCATATGAACCAAAAAATGCTAGATAAATCTCTTTAATCTTAAAAAAAAAATCCATTGTTTGGATTCATAACCAGAATCCCATGTAGCCACTTCATATCTGTGAAATCTTAAGCAAATTTTAAAATTTCTCTAAACATCTGTTTGCTGAATTGTTAAATGAGAATATTTGAAAGTGTATTTCAGAGTGTCATGAATTAAATTGGTTCAAGATAGTGGCATGCAAAACTCTCTCTATTTTAAAAATAAGCAAACAAAATCCCTTTTTATGTAGCAATGGAAAACTTTTTTAATTCTAAAAGACTCCTTTTCAAGGTATGTGAATTATTCATAAGAAATTAGAAAAGGGAGATCATTCCGTGTCAATTGGGTATTTCAAAGGATTTAAAGTATGCAAATGTTGACTTTTTTGCTGAATTTAGGAACTTGGGCTAAATGAAGTTGAATTGTTTGCAAATAAAGGCGAGGACTAGGGAGGAAAAATTAGGGTGGCCTGAGACCATTATATGGGGAGAAGGTCAGTGGCAAGTGAAGATTAGAATTGGAGAATGAAAAAAGTTCTAGAGGCCTCTATAGACTGGTTTCAAAAAAAGTTAAAACTGCGTTGTGAATGATAGCCTCAGTGGTAGGGTAGTCAAAGACACTTTAAATAAATGTTTTAACTATTTGAAATAAAATTTAAAAGAATTGAAAGAGTTATGTAATATGTGCCATGTATGTGTGTGAGAGGGTAGTTTATCTGTTCTTTGTGATGAAGATTAGTAAGCATAAGTCTTCCCCCATGACCCTAGATCTTTAAGTATTAATTTATATTCTGTTCATATTACAGTCTTATCAAAGACTAGGAAATAGTTATGTCGATTGTGTGGAGAATCTATGGAACACCTGTAAGTATAGAAGTGTTTAGGGAGTTGTCACTGTTTGGATTGAATCTAAGATACAGATAAATAAAGAGCAATAAGTCAGAACAAAGAATCAAAAGAAGCTTGAAGCCAACAAAGACAATGAGAATGAAAGGCTGATCCTCTGTCCAATCAGAGTTATAATGCCCTGGGTTTTAAAACAGAGTTAGGAGAGGTCTGATAATTTGTCTGGTAGCTCCTATTCTTATGGAGTTTCACAAGAGTGTGGTTTTTCTTGTAGTTATAGGAATTTAGAAATTTTCCATGTCAGCCAGGCACTGAACCCTTGAACCATGGGTAACTTTTGTTTCTTTAACCTTCAGATCTATCTCAGTTGATAAAGGGGCAACTATTTTGGTCTGTCAAACCATGCACATATGTACATATAGTTGACACTTGAATGCTTGAACAATGTAGGGGCTTAACTAATAATAGTCACTTAACAAATAAATGACTGGAAGCTTTTATCAATCATGTAAACAGTTGATTAACACATATTATATGTGTTATACATGTTACATGTTGTATTCCCACAGTAAAATAAGGCAGGGAAAAGAAAATGTTAAGAAAACCGTAAGGAAGATAAAATATATTTACTATTTATTAAGTGGAAGTGGATTATCATGAAGGTCTTTATTCTCATCATCTTTATATTGAATAGGCTGAAGTGTAGAAAGAGTTGGTCTTGTTGTCTCAGGAGGTGACAGAGGTGAAAGAAAATCCACCTTTAAGTGGACCTGCACAATTTAAGACCATGCTGTTCAAGGGTCAACCACATATTTCAAACATATATATCATTTTACAATATGTATTCCCTTCTGTCCTTTCTGTCTTGTATCTTTTGTCTATAATATCTATACCTTTATACCTTTTTGTCTTTATATTTTCTTTTCCACTAAAGACGTTAAGTCAGAAAATAATATCTAGATCATTAAAAATAAGGTTTTTTCTCTAATTCTGAGTTTAAAAACAACTAAAAACCAAATGAATGTTACCCATGATAAGAATATTAAAGTCAAAGATTTCCTGGGCCTCTTATGAAGGTCTAGTTTGATCCTTCTTTAGGATGATGTCCTTTCTTCCATCTGCTTTTAAAATCCCAGTCGGAATGTGATCTCCAAAATCTTGTAGAATATATTGATTTCTGTTCTCATTCATGAGAAAACAAACCTTCTGTAGCCTTTGCAGTATGGCTCCTTCACATGTAACTCAGGTTTGCTGAAAGCAAGCAGTCTGTTTCTTTCTACTGTCAGTCCAATACAGATTTTGCATCTGTTTTTAAAACAATGCTTTTATCTCCTCAAGTTTCTGCTGGGCTGCAGTTGTTTCATTACTCCTCAGATGATTTATGTATTTTCAATGTACAAATGCCTAGAGGCTAAGATAAATAGAGTTATTTTTATAGTAAAATTTGAAAAATAGTTCAAGTATTGAAAAAGCAAAGCTTATTAGGTGCTCAAAATTAAAATGAATGTTTTCTCCACCATGCTATTTTTGCAAGGGATACAACAAGACATGTGAAGAGAAGATTTCTGATAAATATCCTACTTTGGCTCTTTATTCATAGCACATCAATTTCTAATATAAATACTAAGTCATTTACTATAACTATATTTTAGAAAAGAATAATCCTGAAAGTTATAGCCATCAGGCTGGGGTATATGAATCCTAGGATATCTAGACCTCTACTCTTTAAAAGTTGAAAATAAATGTCAGCCAACACACACACCCACCCACTCACACACACACCCACCCACTCACACACACACACACATAACTAATACACATACGTTCCTATGATTTTTATTCTTTATGCAGAAAGGTCAGATTTCTGTGATTCATTGATATATTAACCAATTTTACTATGACTACTATCATTATGTTAAAAATAAATCTCTATACATTGGTTTACTTCTTTGTTTTGATCAATTATAAGAGGATTTGATATTTTAATGTTCCAGGAGGCATTTACTGCCTGTTGTGGTTGAAGAAGTCATTTCCCACATGCCACATTACTACCAGGCAAAGAGTAGATAACACCTATTCTTCCTAAGACTTATTTCTGAACACATTAAAATATCATAAAGTGTTATCAATATTTCTAATCTTCTCAGTTTTGTAGCTATAGTATTAATCTCCTGTTAAGCTTAAATAACTGCTCCAAATTTTTTGATAATGATTATATTTATAAAGACTACTTATTATCTATGTAATGTTACATGCGGCACACTTGAAACAAGTATATGTGAATTAGATCTGGTATAAATATCAAAGTTGAAAGAATTTGAAGATAAAGTATTCTTATTTGGAACAGGCTAAAGATAATTACTACACTCTACTGGTTAAACTATTAATAGGCGAAGTCTGACAAAATGAGTGCCGCATAGCACTGAGTAGTGGAGAAGTGTTCTGGAAAGAACTAAGGTCAAACATGAGTTGCTGATGCACCTTATTACTTTCAGTAATAGGTACAGCTTCTAATAGTGGTTCATAACCTGTATGAAGGTGATTAAAATAAGCATTCAGGCAATCAGCATGAGTTCTGATGAGGTATTCAGGGGCAATGAATAGAAGAGGAAAAAGACAGGGTCATGGTTGGGCCCTGGTGAACATGGATATGAAAGAGATGAGTAGGAAAAAAATCCATTGAAAGTACCTTAATAGAAGCCAGATATGTAGCAGAAAAACAGAAGAAAATGTTTTAAGGAAGTAAAATAATGGGAGATGTTAGAGACAAGAAAGGCCATGGTGGAAAGGGCAGTTTTATAGATTGGTGTGGGCAGAAGCAAGAACACAGTGGACTAAGGTATAAATGGGAGGTGATGAAATGAACACAGCGCTGATTAATCATTTTAAAAACCTGCCTTAAGAAAACAAGTCACCAAACAGAAGGGACTGTAAGTCAGGAAAAATTGTTTTATTTTGTTTTTAATATTGAACAGACTTTTTTTGCCTGCATCAAAAAAATCCATTGAAGAGACAAAGGCTGATGATGCAGGTTTGAGAAGATGTGATTGATGGAGCAAGGTATTTGAGTTGTGTAAAGGATGCAAAACAAAGCCTCTACATGCAGGGATTTGCTTTGTATAGGAGATGGCATACCACTCCCGCCGATTAAGAAAGGGAGTTGGAAAATGAACAAGCTAATGGCTGCTCATTTGTAAAGATCAGAGAAGACAATCAAGAAACCTCTTGATTTAATTATCTTAATGAGGTAGGAATCAAATTTGGCCTGAGGATGAGAGAGCAGCTTGCAGGGCAGGGGGTGTTGAAGGGAACTTTTAGTCTGAAAGAATTGTTTATGGCAATGAGAGAGAAATGTGGCTAAGGGATTTGTCAGAGGATCTGTGGGTAGTACTGAAATTGCACATGTGATTGGAGAGTAGGAATTCACATTGGCTTCCATATGCAATGGTGGGGGTGGGGTGGGGTTTCTCCAGGCACGCTCAGTGAACCAGGTGAAGATGAAACCAAGTCAGGACGTTGTGTCAATGAAAAGTAGTTACAATGGAGCAAAAATGAGGTCAGGTATTTAGGATACTAGAGAGAAAGATTTTATTTTTCACAGTTGAGTGATTATATAATTTATCCAAACTGAGAAATACTTGAGAGTGAAAGAAGGCAATGGCCAAACAAGATACTGGAACAGGAATAAACTTTTATCACTAAGCAAACCGGGATAAATGGAAATCATGTTCATAGTAAATAAAATAAAATGTTTAAGAGACCATACAGATTGGGAGAAAATGTGTTGTAAATGGTCTAAATCTAGGTAATATTGGAAAAAAACTAGATTATAAATAAGAGAGTAAAAACCCTGGAAGTGTCCAGTAACATCCTAAAAAAAATGGGCTGTAGGAGTTTAGATCTCAGAAGTTTAATAGATACTGTGACTCTAGTTAATGAAACAATTTAGTGTTACTGGAGTGAAGAAAGTGAGAAATTCACTGGGGTTCATAAAGTCACAGTGGTCTAAGGTTAAAGTGGGGATGTTTATTTTCCCACTCACTTTTAAATCGTTCTGGAAGATAGTGGAATTAATGGAGGAGAGAAAGTTTATAAGCCAGGGGCCATAGTCCTTAAAGAATGTGATGGAAGGAGTTTGAGAGAGGTCAGCCTGTAACAAGGATAAGGTCTGGGTGGCATGAGGCTCAATGAAGAGAGTTTTATAAGAGGGCACAAGAGGTTTAGTAATGGCTATTAAGAAAATGAACACATTTGGCTGTCATTGCTTCATGCTATTAAGTATTCAAATCACCTTTGCTCCATACTCATCTAAAAACTTTGATTATAATTTTACTTTCAGTGCCTAAGAAAGATAATTCACTGTTTGTGTTAACAGTATCATCAATGTTCTATGTATCAGTTATAATCCTCATTTAAGTTTGACTTCTTCATATTTTGATTTTGATTAATTAGAGTTCATCCATAGAGGACAATCTATTCTTGCTCTGTCAGCTAAAACAAAATGTGATACCTACAAAAGCGTCACACTTTACACTTGGGGAGAAGTTTTGAGGCTCTACATCATGACACCCTCACTTACTTACATATTCATTTTAAACATCAATAGAAGTTAAAATTGAGGGCAAAGTATATTCACATTTTCTTTGCTGACATTACAAATATCTAGTTTCTTCACTGTTCATCTATGATTTTAATAGAGAAAAATTCAATTGCACATAATCCTAAGTTTTACATTTCATTTCTTTCTACTATTACTGAAAGGAGTAAATAGCTACTAGCATTTACAAAATTCCTTAACATATCCCTAGTAAGATAAGGCTTTAACAAGAGAATATTGGATGTGAAAACACTATTTTCATCTTTCTATTTATCATACATTTTTTTATTATGCTGAAATTGTAGCATGCAGTAGGTAGTAGCCTTTTATGAAATCTTGGAAAACTTTGCTTGCATCAAATATTATAACACAGTGACCTGCAAGTATAGTAATTATAATTAATTAGCCTATCCAAAATTTTAAATTAGGTTGATTATGTGAGAGTGTGGAAATTATACCAAGTTATAGCAGACCAAAAGTAACAAAAAATGTTATCTTAACTTTTAATAAACATACAAATTGTTTAAATAATTGCTATAGCAATTTTGGCATTAATATCAATTTAATTATATAAAGTGTGTTGATACTTAATACAGTAGCAGAGTAAATCTCCCCTTCGTACTTGCATTTTCTTGTTTTTTCCTGAGGTAGGCTCATTCATGAGAATTTTGGTTTTCTTCTTCTCCTCTCTTCACTCTGAGGCCTTTCAGTAGATTTAAAAATTAACTTTTTAAACTTCTCTTCTGGAAATAGCATCAAGCTTCCAAATTTCATCACATTTACATAGTCCCTCTAAATTCATTTTACAAACCCTGGCAATCTAAAATTCTTCAGAAGTAGTCAACCACATGACTAGCAATTTATAAAGATGATACTGTATAATCTTAAATGTTAGCTAGCTTTAAATTGCATCCTCAGCAAATTTTGCTAAATATTCTTTTCAATCACATGACACAAGTTTGTTATCGAAGATTTTACCCATTGGAACACAGATTTTTACAGGGAGCTTTAAACCATCAGGGTAATAGAGTCTGACTATACAGATTTTACACGAAAAAGTTCAGTGCTTTCTCAGTCATGGAAAAATACAGAACCCAAAACACACTTCAGGAATCATAGGATCACACCAGTCTGTTCTTTCATGTTAATGAGAAGTTGCAGCTGTTTGTTTGCTGATCCTTTAAATTACTGTGCTGAGTTTAAAAAAGGAGAGCATAACTTTTCCTGTAAATACAAGCTTGCTCAATTTTTGACGGTATAGATATCTATAAGAGAAAGGAAAAAAGTTGATAAAAATGGTAGTACCTAAAAGGAACCAGTTCAAAGAAAAAGGAAAACTTTGACATATATTCTCCAACCTGATTTAGATATGCCTCTTATTTTATTCTGCTTTCCTCCCCAAGCTTCAGATATCACAAGGCTTTCAGTCTTAATTTTCTCTTATTTCTTTTAAATACTCTTTCCCTCCAAACTCTACATGTCTCTGTGTTGGGTTGAAGTTTTCTTTCAAATTCTAGATGTCTCTGTGTTGGTTGAAGTTTTCTTTCAAACTCTAGATGTCTCTGTGTTCACTCATTCATAGAATATCACTTATGATTCTATGAGTTTTATCACTTATGATACTCTATGAGAGAACAAGCCAAGGGCAAAATAGTGGTCATTTTATTATCTCTTTGGTAAAGTATGTTAATAAGTAGTTCTCTAAGTGTGAGCTTTGGACTAGTAGCACTGACATCTCCTGGGAAATAAAAATTCTAGATACCATCTCATGTGTATTGAATCAGAAATTCTGAGCACAGAGTCCGGCAGTCTATGTTTTAACGAGCCTTCCAGGTGATGCTGGTGTAAGCTAAAATTCAAAAAAACCTGTTTAAAGATATGTTACTAGTTATTGGTAGTTTAAGATATAGAAGTTCTTATTTGAAATTACAGGAAATTGTTAACAATTGTTACCTCTGGAGATAAGAATGTAAAAAGAAAGAATCATTCCCTTCCTTTACTTTTCAAATTTTCTAACAATGCACAATTAGTATTTTTATATTTATTCCATCAGGACTTGTCTATATGAGACAATGGCTCATTTTCTTGTTTGCATTTTTGTAATTTCTTACATATATAAAAATACAAGTAATAAATATTATTTTTTAAATGCACGAACTGAATTTTGCTCTTCTTGGAGCATTTCTTCATTCTAGCAATCAATCTTGCTATATTTGTAAGTGCTTATATTGTGCCAGGAACTATGCTGACTCCCTGAGTAAGAAAACAAAAACATGAATAAGATATAATGTTTTTTGCTAAGACACTCACTCCAAAATCTACTTGAGGAGAGAAATATAGATATTAGCAAAATTGTCCACAGTGAGAAAACCTAAGTCCTGGTCTTCCACTCTTTGTTCGTTAAAAGTCTGCACTGAAATTTAAATGTGTTTACTTCATCAATTTTCCCAAAAGGATTTGAGTTATGTTAGACATAAACAATATTAATAAACTACAATGTCAGGACCATGGAAAGGAAGATAAACAAAAATGCTAACCCCATAGACTCATTATTTTCATCATAATAATTATTGTTATTTTTAGATACAAGATCTTGCTCTGTCACCCAGGCTGGAGTGCAGTGGCGTGGTCATAGCTCCCTATAAACTGAACTCCTGGGGACAAGCAATCCTTCCACCTCAGTCCCCTGAATAGCTGAACTACAGGAATGAGCCACAACATCTGGTTATTTCTCAACAATTTTCTGTAGAGACAGAGTCTTGCTATGTTGCCCAGACTGGTCTCAAACTCCTGGCCTCAGGGAATCCTCCTGTGTCACCCTCCCAAAGCACTGGGATTACATATACAAGCCACTGTGCTTGGCTTAGACTTATTTTTTATGCTTTAAAAAAACATTCCTTAAGCACCTATTTTGTGCCAAACACTATGCTATGCACTGAGGACTCATGAAATATTTATTAGTAAGGCAATTTTTTTCTAGGAGGCGTGATAGACATCTAAGTCAATTTAAGAATAATTATTTTTTAAAATCCTGAGGATGAGGCTAGGTACAGTGGCTTATGCCTGCAATCTTGGCGATTCATGAGGCCAAGGTGGAAGGACTGCTTGATGCCAAGAACTCAAGACCAGCCTTGGCAACCTAGCAAGGCTCTTTCTCTACAAACAAAATGGAAAAATAGCTGGGTATGGTGGTGCATGACTTTAGTCCCAACTACTCTGGAGGCTTTGGTGGGAGTATCGCTTGAGCCCAGGCGTTCAAGGTTACAGTGAGCTATCGTTGCTCTGCTACACTCCAACTTGTCTCAAAAAAAAAAAAAAAAAAAAAAGGACAAAAATAAAAGTAAAATCCTGAGAATGAAATTTTAACAGAATGCAAACATGATGAAATTTAGAGACAAAGGGAAGGAACTTTGAATTTTTCTGGGAATATGATTCTCTTTAATATCTATCTAATTAATTTTATTTCCTAGTTTTCAAAATAGTAAATCACATTAATAGATATAGAATATAACTGTGCTTACATAATTCACAAGCAACTTCTACTGAATAGTTTTGCATATTTTTTGCTCTATTTTCCTATTCATTTTTCTTTCATAGTTGAGTTTGTTTCATCCAAAATGTTTATAATAATTTTTTAGTTAATGCATAATAATTTTCTAATTATTTTTTCCTGATGTCTTTTAAAATGGCTAAATAATATCGTATCATAACTTCTCAATATATTTCACGACCTCATAGTTTGGACATTTTATTTCATCTTTGATATACCACCATTAAAATCCCTAAAATGATTGTCTCTGACAGGAATCCTCCAGTATATTTACATTTGTTCTCTAGATAATTTATTTGCAAGATTAAAAGGCATAAAATTTTTAAGGTTCTTGATAAATACAGTTGTGTTGCCTTATAAAACAATGCATGCTGTTAAAGAATCAATTTTTTGTTCTGCAAATCATGCCAGATAGGGAAGAAATAGTAATATCTATCTTCCAATTATAAAATGAAACAAGTGGACTAGTTTTTGAGAATAAAAAAGTATTTTCTTGACCTTAACACTAGAATACATTTCTTATTCTGAGAAAATTAAATAAAATATGAATTAAAAACATGAACAATGTATTTAGCAGCAGTTTTAAGGGAACTTAAGAATTAGTTCATGTGGCAACTTCAATATAACACCATTTCTACAAGCGTAAAATCAGGCATCCGGATGCCAGGAATTAAGTCCCACTTCTTCCACCAGGATATGATGTTATTTAAGTAAATTATTGAATTTCTCTGAGTCTCAGTTTCCTAATTTGTAAAGTAGGATTAATATGCATTTTTTTCAAAAGGTGTCTCAGAGGATTAAATTAAAAAGTGTGTATTATTAACTTAGCAATGAGTGCAGGCATATGAAGAACTCAATAAAGGTTAACTGTCTTGATTACTGATGGCCTTTGATAAAGCTACACATCAGGTAAAATTATTTTTCTATGTCTCAGTTTCTTTTTATAAAGAATGGTTTATATTAGCATATTTCCTAACCTCTGTGGTAGGCAGCTTCTGAAATGGCTCCCAATGAGCCCTGCCTCCTGATGTTCAATTCTTTGTATAATCTAATGCCCTCGAGCACACCCTGGACCTAGTGACTTGCTTATAGCTAATAAAAGTGAAGCAAAAATAAAAGGTATCACTTCTGAAATTAGGTTATACAAGCCTGTGGCTTCCCTCTTCCTCATATTGTCATGTCCTCTCAGTTGTTTGCTTTGATAAAGCCATTTGCTCTATTGTGAGCTGTCTTAAGGAAAAGGTCACATGTAAAAAAACCAAAGGCAGCCTCTGAGAAATTGAGGTTCCCCCATCCAATACCCTATGAGGAATTGAGCCCTGTAGCAATCATGTCCATGACCTTGGAAGCTGATCTTGGCTGAAGTCCCAGCCAACACCTTTACTTCTGCTTCATTAAAGACCCTGAGCTAAGTCCTACTTGGATTACTGACATACAGAAATGATGAGATTATAAATATTACTGTTTTATCAATTGAGGAAAATGATGAGATAAGTCTCAATCATTTTGGGAGGTTTATTTGCCAGTTAAAGATGCATGCCTAGGAGACAGGTCTATGCTTCTCTCTGAAGATGATTTTGAGGGCTCCAAATTTAAAAGGGAAAAGGAGGGATATTGAGAAGTACACAATTTTCCTGTAAGAAAAGGGTAGGGAAATATAGTCATTCATGCCTTTGGCTCAAGTGAATCTGTTTTGTTTTGTTTTTTTTTTTAATAAAACAAGATGGCATAGACAAATGGGGCAGAGGAAAAATGTAAGGAATCTTCCTTTTACATAAGAATACAGACAAAATGGGGAAGGAGAACAATCATATATTCATTTGCGTCTGGTGGGCTGGGGGTGACTGCATCTATAAAGATAAGCTATCAATTTACATTGTCATGGTGAAATTTTAATAGAAACAACTTAGAGTAAAGATCTTGCAGCTCACTAGGTATTCTCTTATGGACCAATATGGGGCAGGCATACAGATTTTCATCTTGTAGCCATTTCATTTAGGAACCAAAAAGGGGGAGGCAGTTTGCATGTCCCCAGTTCTCACCTTGACTTTTCCCTTTGGCTTAATGAGTTTGAGGTCCAAAGATTTAATTTCCTTTCACATTTCTAAACTGATAAAGTTAGAGATCATTTGTTACACAGCAATAGATAACAAATATAACTATCTCCAGCTCTAGAGTTTCATGAATACTAATGATTAAGGACAATCCTTTTGACTTTTATATTTTCTAAATTATATGTATTTGAGTGTCTGGATAAGAACCTCTTTATTATATATTTAAAAAAGTATTTTTGGTCAAGATGGCTGACTAGAAGCAGGTAGTGTGCACCATTCTCATGGAAAAGAAGCAAACTGGCACATAAATACTGACTCTTCAAGTGGAGCATCTAAGAAACCATGTCAGGAGCCATGAAGGAAGAAAGGAGACCCACAAAGAACATAGAAGAGCAAATCTGAGTAGTCACCTACCCAGGAGCAGCAAGGAGCTGGGAGGGGCTCCCTAACTCATGGAAAGATTGAGATAGTAAGAGCCCCTGGAAAGTTCACACTTCCCATAGAGACCTTTGCAATCCTGGGAATGGAAAAAACCCCTTGACCCCCTTGGGCCTCTAGACTGACACAGAGAGCTGCTTGGAGCTTTTGCAGAAGCACTGCTCAAGACCACAGGAAGCCCCACAGCCCTTGCATCCCTGAGCAGCCCAGCACCAACTGCCATAAATTCCAATAGAGACCACAGTTGTAGTTCCAGGGAGCAATCAGCTCGCCTCACTCCTTGCTAGACAAGGCTATGCTCAGCTTCCAGTGCAGCAACACTGCGTCTTCTTTAACTCTGAAGGCAGGAACGATGCTGAGCTTTCCCGGGAAACACCAGAACAGCAACCCTTGTGAATCCCCCTCCGCCTGCTGTGTCTAGCCAGGTAAGTCTCCCCAGCTTGGACTCCTAGCATAGCAGCCCTGCCCATGCCTGAACCCTGTGAGTGGGCATAGTGCTGTGTTCCTGCCAGAAACACTCAGATGGAAGATCATGTTATTCCCCATCCCCCACTGTGCCTAGCCAGGCAGTTCTCACCAGCTTGGGCTCCCGGCATGGTCGCTTCACCCTTGTCTGAACACTGCAGGAGGGCACAGATCTCTGTTCTTTCACTGGCTTGACTCACTGGATTGGCAGTGCCTTAGCAGAGGAGTCTCCACACTCAGAAAACTGAGAATGCTGAGATGTGTGGGCTTGTGGGCCAGTGTGGAAGCAGGGAGTGCCTCCCTCTGCAGGGCCAGCACAGGAAGGAATGTGGTCTGTCAGCTGCAGGCTCTGCCTGAGGAATTCCCCATGGCCCAGAACATCTAACAAAGGAAATACAGGAACGGCTCCAGTGATCGTGGGACTCCTCCAAGGCCCAGGAATGGATATGGTCAGTGGGTCATCTCTCTCCACCACCCCACCACAGAGCCCTATAGTAAACACACTTAACTACAAAAGAGCAGCTTTTGGTGTTTTAGATATGAAGTCCTTGCCATGCCTATGTCCTGAATGGTATTGCCTAGGTTTTCTTCTAGGGTTTTTATGGTTTTAGGTCTAACATGTAAGTCTTTAATTCATCTTGAATTAGTTTTTGTATAAGGTGTAAGGAAGGGATCCAGTTTCAGCTTTCTACATATGGCTAGCCAGTTTTCCCACAAAACACCAAAAGTAATGGCAACAAAAGCCAAAATTGACAAATGGGATCTAATTAAACTAAAGAGCTTCTGCACAGCAAAAGAAACTACCATCAGAGTGAACAAGCAACCTACAGAATGGGAGAAAATTTTTGCAACCTACTCATCTGACAAAGGGCTAATATCCAGAATCTACAATAAACTCAAACAAATTTACAAGAAAAAAAAAAACAACCCCATCAAAAAGTGGGCAAAGGACATGAACAGACACTTCTCAAAAGAAGACATTTATGCAGCCAAAAAACATATGAAAAAATGCTCATCATCACTGGCCATCAGAGAAATGCAAATCAAAACCACAATGAGATACCATCTCACACCAGTTAGAATGGCGATCATTAAAAAGTCAGGAAAGAACGGGTGCTGGAGAGGATGTGGAGAAATAGGAACACTTTTACACTGTTGCTGGGACTGTAAACTAGTTCAACCATTGTGGAAGTCAGTGTGGCGATTCCTCAGGGATCTAGAAGTAGAAATACCATTTGACCCAGCCATCCCATTACTGGGTATATACCCAAAGGACTATAAATCATGCTGCTATAAAGACACATGCACATGTATGTTTATTACAGCACTATTCACAAAAGCAAAGACTTGGAACCAACCCAAATGTCCAACAATGATAGACTGGATTAAGAAAATGTGGCACATATACACCATGGAATACTGTGCAGCCATAAAAAATGATGAGTTCATGTCCTTTGTAAGGACATGGATGAAGCTGGAAACCATCATTCTCAGCAAACTATCTCAAGGACAAAAAACCAAACCCCGCATGTTCTCACTCATAGATGGGAATTGAACAATGAGATCACATGGACACAGGAAGGGGAACATCACACACTGGGGACTGTTGTGGGGTGGGGGGAGTGGGGGGAATGATGAGTTAAGGGGTGCAGCACACCAACATGGCACATGTATACATATGTAACAAACCTGCACATTGTGCACATGTACCCTAAAACTTAAAGTATAATAATACTAAAATTTAAAAAAAAAGATTCAGGTCAGAGGTACCTCCTATAGGAAAAAAAAAAAAAAAAAAAGAGCAGCTTGCCTAAGAGCCTATCTCCTGGCCATCATTCATAACCGCCATCTACTGGATTGTAGCCCAAATTACAACACCAAAAATAGTTTGCCAGTATACAGTACCTAAGAAGCCTAAGGCAGGAATCCAGCCACAAATAAAGATTCTGTGCATAGCACTGACCTTCTAAAAACATTCAGAAATGAAACGAACTGACTATACTCAATTTATGTCGTAGATAAAGGACCACCAGCCCTCACAGATGAGAAAGAACTAGTTCAAGAAGTCTGACAATTCAAAAAGTCAGTGTCCCCTTACCTCCCAAGGGACACATTATCCCCTCAGTAATGGTTCTTAAACAGATTGAAATGACTAAAATGTCAGTTGTAGAATTCATAATCTGGATGGCAAGAAGCTCACTGAGGTCTAGGAGAAAGCCAAAACCCTGTCCAAGGAAACCAAAGAATCCAGTAAAAGAATCAGAGACAAAATAGTCATTTTAAGAAAGAACCAAACTTAATTTCTGGAACTGCAAAAATAACTACAAGAATTTCCTAATACAGTTAGAAATATTAACAGCAGAAGAGACCAAACTGAGGAAAATATCTGAGATGCAGACAGACCGGTTCTTAGAATAAAATCAATTGGACAAAAATTAAAAGAGCTTTAAACAATGAAGAAAACCTCCAGAAAATATGAGATTATGTTGAGGCCAAATCTACAACTGAATAGCATTCCTGAGAGAGGAGAGAAGGTGAGTAACTTGGAAAACATTTTGAGAATCTAGTCCATGAAAATTTGCCCAATCTTACTAGAGAGGTTGATAGGAAAATTCAAGAAATACAGAGGACTCCTGCAAGATACCATACAAGATGACCATCTGCAAGACACATAGTCATCAGATTCACCAAGGTCAATGTGAAAGAAAAAAATCTTAATGACAGGTAGAGAGAAAGATCAGGCCACTTACAAAGGGAACCTCATCAGGCTGGCTGTTGATGTCTTAGCAGAAACTTTTTAAGCCAGAAGAGATTGGGGACCTATTTTCAGCCTCCTCAAAGAAAAGAAATTCAAACCAAGAATTTCAAATCATGCCAAACTAAGCTCCTTAAGCAAAGGAGAAATAAAATTATTTTAGACAAGCAAACACAAAAGGAATTAATTACCACAAGTCCAGCCTTACAAGAGGTCTTTAAGAAATGCTAATCATGGAAATGAAAGATCAATACCTGCTACCACAAAAACACACTTAAGCACATAGCCCACAGACAATATAAATTGCAATTACACAGTCACATCTACAAAACAACCAGCTAACAAGACAATGATAGGTTAAAAATCTCATATATCACTATTAACCATTATTAACCCTCAATGTAAATAGTCTAAACATCTTACTTAAAAGACATAGAGAGGCAAATTGGATGAAAAGACAAGACCCAACATCTGCTGTCTTCAGAAGACCCATTTCACATGTAACAACGCTCAAAGTAAAGGGATGCAGAAAGATCTATCATAAAAAAAAAGCAAGAGTCACCCTTCTTATATCAGAAAAATACAGACTTTAAACCAACAGTAACTTGGAAGGACAAATAAGTGCATTAAATAATGATAAATGGTTCAAGATTGGAGCACTCAAATTACTAAGAAAAGTTCTTCTTGGCCTCCAAAAAGATTTACACAGCAATACAATAATAGTGGGAATTTCAACATTCCAGTGACAGTGTTAGACTTATCATCTAGGCAGAAAACTAACAAAGAAATTCTGAACTTAAACTTGGCAGTCATCCAGTTAGCCCCAATAGACATCTTCAGAATACTATACCCAACCACCACAAAATATACATTCTTCTCATTTGCACAAGCAACATACTTTAAAATTGACCACATGCTTGGTAATAAAAAAATCTCAATTAATTCAAAAAATAGAAATCATATCAAGTACACCCCTGGGCCATAGTGCAATAAAAATATAAGTCAATACCAAGAAGATCTCTCAAAAGTACACAAAACATGGATTTTAAACAACTTTCTCCTGGCAGAAATCAAAACATTATTTGAAACTAGTGAAAAGTGGAGACACAACTTACAGAAATCTTTAGGATCTAGATAACCAGTGTTAAGAGGAACTTGGAAAAATGAAAAAAACCTACCCCAAAGCTAGCAGTAAAAAAGAAATAACTAAAATAAGGGAAGAACTATAAGAAATTGAGACACAAAAATCCACACAAAAGATCAAGGAAACCAATAATTGGATCTCTGAAAGAATAAACAAGATTGACAGACCTCCAGCTAGATTAACAAAGAAAAACAACAAAACAAAAGATCCAAATAACCCCAGTCAGAAATGTCAAAGAAGACATTACAACCAATCCACAGAAATACCAGAATCCTCATAGACAATTATGCACACAAATTAGAAAATCTGGAGGAAATGGCTGAATTCCAGGAAACACACAATCTGCCAAGATTGAACCAGGAAGAAAGTGAAAGCCCGAACAGATCAATAACAAGTTCCGAAATTGAATCAATAATAAAACAGTTACTAATACAAGAAAGCCCTGGATCAGATTGGTTTGTAGCTGAATTCTGTGAGATATACAAAAAAGATTGGTGCCAATCCTACTAAAACTGTTACAAGAAAATTAAGGCAGAGTTGCTCCTCCTTAACTCATTCTGCAAAGTCAGCTTGATCCTTATACCAAAATCTGGCAGAGACACAACAAAGAAAGACAACTATAAGCCAATACCCCTGATGAACATAGACACAAAAATCCTCAACAAAATACTAGTAAACCAAATCCAGCAGTACATTAAAAACTTAATTCAAGTAGGCTTTATTTCTGGGATGTAAGTTTGTTTCAATATACACAAATAATGTTATTCACCACATATACAGAGTCAAAAAAATCACCTTAATTGACAATGAAAAAGTGTTTGATAAAAATCCAACATCCTCCTATAATAAAAACCCTTAATAGACTGGGTATTGAAGGAATATTCTGAAAAAAATAAGAGCCATGTATGACAAATCCACATTCAACATCATATTGAACAGGCAAAAGCTGGAACCATTCCCCTTGAGAACTGAAACAAGACAAGGATGCCTACTCTCACCACTGCTATTCAACTTTATACAGGAAGTCCTAGCCAGAGCAATGAGGCAAGAGAAAGACATAAAATGCACCTAAATAGGAAAAGAAGAATTCAAACTATCTCTCTTTGCTGGTGATATGATTCTATATGGAAACCCTAAAGATTCAACCAAAAGGTCCATATATGTGATAAACATTAATTTGGTGCAGGATACAAAATTAATGTGCAAAAATAAGTCGTGTTTCTACACACCAATAATGTTCTAGCTGTGAGCCAAAACAAGAATACAGTCCCAATTAAAATAGTCACAACAAAATGAATTACCTGGAAATACATCTAACCAAGAAGGTAATAGATCTCCACAAGGAAAACTACAAAACACTGTGAAAGAAACCAGAGGCAACACAAATAAATGGAAAAATGTTCCATGCTCATGGATTGTAAAAATTAATTTTATTAAAATGATCATATTTCCAAAAGCCATTTACAAATTCAATGCCATTCATTAAAAAATACCAATGTCATTTTTCACAGAAATAGAAAAAAAATTGTTCTAAAATTTATACAGAACCCAGAATGATCCCAAATAGTCAAAGCAATCCTAAACAAAAAGAGCAAAGCAGGAATCATCACTTTACCCAACTTCAAACTATACAATAACGCTACAGTAATCAGAACAGCATGGTACTGGTACAAAAACAGACACATACACCAATGGAACAGAATAGAGAGCCCAGAAATAAACCTGCTCACTTGCAGCTATCTAATCTTCAATAAAGTTGACAAAAATAAGCAATGGGAAAAGGACTCTCAATTCAATAAATGTTGCTGTGATAACTGGTTATCCATATGCATAAGAATGAAATTGGACCCCTACCTTTTAACATGGATAAAAATTAGCAAAAGATAGAGGAAATAGTCAAATGTCAGGCTATAAAAACTATAGAAATCCTAAAAGACAACCTAGAAAATTACCTTCTCAATGTAAGCTTTGGCAAAGAATTTATGACCAAGTCCCCAAAAGCAATTGCAACAAAAATAAAAATTTAGAAGTGGGACCTAATTAAAGAGTATCTGCACAGCAAAATAAATTATCAACAGAGTAAACAGACAACTTACAGAATAGGAGAAAAATATATTTGCAAACTATTCACCCAACAAAGTTTCTATATCCAGAATCAAGGAAGCATTTAAACAAATTAACAAGCAAAAAATAAAAATCCAATTAAGAAATGGGCAAAAGATTTGAACAGACACTTCTTAACAGAAGACATAAAAGCAGCTGACAAACATAGGAAAAAATGCTTATCACTAATTATCAGAGAAATGCAAATCAAAACCATAATGAGGTACTATGTCACAATAGTCAGAATGGCTACTATGAAAAAGTCAGAAAACAACAGATGCTGGCAAGGCCCTGAAGAAATGGAACACTTATACAGTGTTGATAGGACTGCAAATTAGTTCAGCCACTGTGGAAAGCAGTTTGGAAATTTATCAAAGAACTTATAACAGAGCTAACATTCAATCCAGCAATTCCATTACTATATATATGTATATACCCCAAGGAAAATAAATTATTCTACCTGAAGGATACATGCACTCTTATATTCATTGCAGCACTATTCACAATAGCAAAAACATGGACTCAACCTAACTGCCTATAAATGGTGGACGAGATAAAGAAAATATGGTACGTGAACACCATGGAATGTCCTCTGCAGCAGCATGAATGCAGCTGAAGACCATTATCCTTAGTGAATTAAGTGAACTAATGCAGGAACAAAAACCTAAATACTGCATGTTCTCACTTATATGTGGAAACTAAACATTGAATACACATGGAGGGAAAGATGGGAACAATAGATAACAGGGAGGACCAGAGCAGTGAGGGAGAGAGTGGGCTATTAGGTAGCTCACTATCTGGGTTACAGGATCATTTGTACCCCAAACCTCAGCATCATGCAATATACCCATGTAAAAAATCTGCACATGTACCCTCTGAATCCCTAATACAAACTGAATGAATGAATGAAAGAATGAATGAATGAGTAAATAAATAAATAAAGGAAATTACTTGAGTTTACCACACAGGTATTTAGATACATTTGTTAAAAACTTTGAGAGTTAGTTCCTGCAGATATTAGCATTTAATTATAATGATTACATTGTTACTTTACATTTTAAAATCTATTTTATTTGTTCCCTAATCTATGTTAATATATTATTCCAGTACCCATATTTAAGTTCTTCTGAGACTAAACCTAGTGCTTTTAATTATTCTGAAAGAACATTGCAAAATTTTAAAATTTTTAAAAATTAATTTATACTCATATTAATTATAAAAAGAAAGAAAATTAAAAAAGGCAAAGAAGGTGAAATTCAATGTCATTGAAGCAGTTATAGATTACTTGAGTAATAATTTTAAACTATATTTATAGTCACTAAATATCAAAAATATTGTCCTTGTTTAATATAGAAAATTCTTAAATGCAGTAGTTAATATTAATTTTAACAATTTCTCTCTGGATCATAAAATATGTTTAGCAGCAACCAAAATGTAACCTTTTAAAGTTTGAAAAACATACACATTTACCGGATTTTTAAATTTTTCATAAGTTAATAAATATAGATTTAAACAATAGAAAATGGCTATTTTACAATTTTGGCCCAGAAAAAGATCCTTGCAAAAATCACAATTTTGGATGAATTTTGACATTAGACAAAGTGAAACACATTAATAAACCATTTGGCGAAGAGGAACAAAGAATTCTGTGCTTTACTATGCCTGATACTGCCCTTTTTTGGCTCTCCTAACTTAAGGAAAGAAGTTGCAGTGGGAATTGTTTAATAATTTAGTGAGAGAGAGAGAATTTGGAAAGAACATAGAAACAGGGCATTTAATGGCTGGTAAGAAACATGGGAATGAGAACAGTTTGCAAAATGGACACTATAAATAAGAAATAAGAAAGATTTCTGGACTGTCTCTTGAAATTGAATAAACTCAAATTCACATAGTGTCAGAATTAACTTGATTTATTTTTCAGTGGAAAAATTAAAGAGTCAAAAATAAAGGAGCTTGGGTTTCTGCAGTACTGAATACTTTGGGATATATAAGAATAAAGATTACTTATTTCAAACTGTTTAGTGACTACTCTTATTATAGTTGATTTAGAGACATAAACTGCTAAACAACACTTTAGGCAAAGCTTTTTATTCCAATTGCTAAATCTACCAAGCAAAAACATAGAAATCAGTCAAAAACTTAACTACGCCATAAGCCAAACTAGATCTTTTGAAGCCAAATAAACTTATTACTTTGTGCCCAGAATTATGCAAATATGTTTCCTATATTGATCTAATTAATCAGATGGACATATTCTCCAAATTAGGCGTAAGCACCTTACGTATACCCTGCATGTGACTAAAGATCATACTAATTGTTTTAGAGTATGGGAAGCAGTCTGAGGTCTGAGAGATCCCTGTTAAGTCAGGATGGGGTGACCATCACTGCCCAACCTTTATCAGGCGTCTAGGAAAGCAGCAAGAGTTCCCCAACCTTGTCTAGTACTTCAATACCTATACTGAACTCTGTAATAATTGCATTCAATGGACTTCCCTGGAAGCCTAACTTCTGTTTGTTGCTTTGTTCATGTGAAATGGTATATTGTGCATTTCTAGTAACTGATTCATCGATGGATAGATAGATTGATAGGTAGATAGATAGATAGATACATAGATGAATAAATGAATAAACAAATAGGTCTTGGAACAAAATTTGTTTGTTAGTTGGCACCTTTCTGTGATTGCCAAATCTATCCTTTGCTTTGAGCTTTGTGAACAAAGCCATTAACAGACAATCACATTATGGTCCCCCTGGGACTGGAATAAGCAAATGCATTATTCTATCTCACTGTGGCTGAGGAACCTTGATGCCAGACAGCGTATGGCTCAATAAATCTTGAAATAAGGTAATTTGTAGGAGGTTGAAATCTAAGGTTGATTTTCGATATTTTAAAAAACATACTGAATTTTGAGCCATTATTCTCCCTGCAGGTGCAATTTTTTTTCCTTTAACATGAGCAAATAAAAATTTCTACAGTGTATTTTTTCCCGTTTTTAACACATTAAAAAGAAATGTTGAGTAAGTCAGTGATAGCCATATTCTCTGGAAGAAAATGCATGCCTTCAGTGAGCATAGGTATTACATACCTGTGACTCACTGGAGCTAACTAAATGAGTCTTTCAAATTATATATATATATATATATATATATTTTTACACAGAATTCTTTGTTCCTCTTCGCCAAATAGTTTATTAATGTGTTTCACTTTGTATAATATCAAAATTCATCCAAAATTGTGATTTTTGCAAGGATCTTTTTCTGGGCCAAAATTGTAAAATGGCCATTTTCTATTGTCTAAAACATATGTATATATGTATTTATATTTATATTTACATATATATAAAATTTCTATATATTCTTCAAGTTATACATATATTCCAAGTTCATATATAGATTACTTAAATAATATCATATAAATACATCAAAGTATATATTTTTGTGGACATAAGATCTGGTTTTTATGGTAAACTTGGTTGAAGAATTGCTAAACCTCTGGCTAAACCATGAGTTTTCTCTTTCATCTACGTGGTTGTAAATACCTATATTGAGCCCTTTCATCAAAAATAAGACAGCTGTAGTTTTTGTTTGTTTGTTTGTTTTGTAACAGGCATTTTTAAGGAGCCATTTATGTCACTTATCCTCCTGAATTCTATATATGAGAAAGGTACATGAAGCATTGATTGACTATAGGGTAAAATCCCTTTTTCAGTAAGTCAATACTTTTTAAATATCTCCTGTTAGAGGCCAATACACCATTCTGGACTCTGTTATTTATATTCTCACACAGCAACAAATCAAACGCTTGGTTTTTATCATTTATTCATCATTCATTTTCTTATTCTAAATCAATGTTTATTAACACTAAAATATAGACGGGCATGTTAAAAAATTTACTCTCTCTCTATACCAGATACATGCCAAGACTTGGAAGCTCAGAGATGTTCTTTTTAAGACAAGCAAAAATGTTGGCTACATTAAGTCAAAGAGAATGACATTATTGTAAACCTTCACCTTTGATGAAGTGAGGGAGAATATAACCTGAGAAAGCTCAGTGTTGTTCTATGCTAGAATATTTTATGAAGATACTTTAGGATCTACTGTATAATCTTGTATTTTTTTTAAGTCACAGTAAAAACAGAGTTAGAGATAGATTCTTCTGCTGTTCTAAATGTCCATAACCATTAGCCAAATACATGAAACTCACCTGACCCTTCATGATAATGGCTCAAGATTCAATGTAAAGGTTACAGAGCACCCTATGTGATGCTACCTTTCAAGTATTGCCCAGATATTAATGTCTTTGGTTTAAAAGTAATGTTGATTCCCAGGCAAGATGGCAGAACAGGAACAGCTCTGGTCGGCAGTTCCCAGCGAGACCAATGCAGAAGGTGGGTGTTTTCTGCATTTCCCACTGACGTACCCGGTTCCTCTTACTTGGACTAGTTAGACAGTGGGTGCAGCCCACAGAGGGCCAGCAGAAGCAGGGTGGGGCATCACCTCACTTGCGAAGTGCATGAGGTCAGGGGACTCCCTCCTCTAGCCAAGGGAAGCCATAAGGGACTGTGACCTGAGGGATGGCATTATCCAGCTCAGATGCTATGCTTTTCCCACAGTCTTTGCAACCTGCAGACCAGGTGATTTGTTCTGGTGCCTACACCACCAGGGCCCTGGGTTTCAAGCACAAAACTGGGAGGCTGTTTGGGCAGACACCAAGCTAGCTGCAGGAGTCTTTTTTCCTACCCCAGTGGTGCCTGGAACAAAGGCAAGACAACTGCTCACTCCCCTGGAAAGGGAGCTAAAGTCAGGGAGCTGAGTGGTCTTGCTCAGCAGATCCCATCCCCACAGTGCCCAACAAGCTAAGATCCCTTGGCTTGAAATCCTCACTGCCAGCACAGCAGTCTGATGTCAACCTGGGATGCTCAAGCTTGGTGCAGGGAAGGTCATCTGCCATTACTGAGGCTGCAGTAGGCAGTTTACACCTCAGAGTGTAAACAAACTGCCTGGAAATTCTAACTGGGTGAGAAACCCACTGGAGTGTGGCAAAGCCTGGGTAGCCAGACTGCCTCTCTAGATTCCTCCTCTCTGGGCAGGGCATCTTTGAAATAAAGGCAGCAGCCCCAGTCAGGGGCTTATAGATAAAACTCTCATCTCCCTTGGACAGATCACCTGGCGAAAGGGGCAGCTGTGAGTGCAGCTTCAGCAGATTTAAACGTTCCTGCCTGCCAGCTCTAAAAAGAACAGTGGATCTCCCAGCACAGCACTCAAGCTCTGCTAAGAGACAGACTGCCTACTCAAGTGGGTCCCTGACCCCCAAGCCTTCTGATGGGGAGAACCTCCCAGTAGGATTGACAGACACTTCATACAGGAGAGCTCTGGCTGCCATCTGGTGGGTACCACTCTGGGATGAAGCTTCCAGAGGAAGGAGCAGGCAGCAGTCTTTGAAGTTCTGCAGCCTATGCTGGTGATACTCAGGCAAACAGAGTCTGGAGTGGACCTCCAGCAAACTCCAGCAGACCTGCAGAAGAGGGGCCTGACAGTTAGAAAGAAAACTAACAAACAGAAATCAATAGCATCAAAATCAACAAAAAGGACACTCACACAGAAACTGCATCCAAAGGTCACCAACATCAAACATTTATCACCAAAGGTAGATAAATCCAAGAAGATGAAAAAAAAAAAAAAAAAGAACAAAAAGGCTGAAAATTACAAAAACTAGAATGCCTCCTCTCCTTCAAAAAATCACAACTCTTCACCAGCAAGGGAAAAAACTGGATGGAGAATGAGCTTGACAAATTGACAGAAGTAGACTTCAGAAGGTGGATAACAACAAACTCTTCTGAGCTAAAGGAGCAAGTTCTAACCCAATGCAAGGAAGTTAAAACCTTGATAAAAGGTTACAGGAACTGCTAACTGGTATAACCAGATTATAGAAGAATATAAATGAGCTGATGGAGCTGAAAAACACAGCATGAGAACTTTGTGAAGCATACACCAGTATCAATAGCCAAATCGATCCAGCAGAAGAAAAGATACTGGAGGCTGAAGATCAACTTAATGAAATAAAGCATGAAGACAAGATTAAAGTAAAATGAATGAAAAGGAATGAAAAAAGCCTCCAAGAAATATGGAACTATGTGAAAAGACCAAACCTACATTTGATTAGTGTACCTTAAAGTAATGGGGAGAAGGGAACCAAGTTGGAAAACACACTTCAGGATATTATCCAGGAGAACTTCCCCAACCTAGCAAGACAGGCCACAGTTCAAAGTCAGGAAATACAGAGAATACCACAAAGATACTCCTTGAGAAGAGCAACCCCAAGACACATAATTATTAGATTCACAAAGGTTGAAATGAAGGAAAAAATGTGAAGGGCAGACAGAGAGAAAGGTCAGATTACCCACAAAGTGAAGCCCATCAGACTAATAGTGGATCTCTCCGCAGAAACCCTACAAGCCAGAAGAGAGAGGGGGCCAATATTCAACATTCTTAAAAAAATATTTCAACCCAGAATTTCATATCTATCCAAGCTAAGCCTCATAAGTGAAGAAGAAATAAAATTTTTTTACAGACAAGCGAATGCTGAGAGATTTTGTCACCACCAGGCATGTGTTACAGAGCTCCTGAAGGAAACACTAAATATGGAAAGGAAAAATAGGTACCAGCCACTGCAAAAACATGCCAAAATGTAAAGACCATCAACACTATGAAGAAACTGCATCAACTAATATGCAAAATAACCAGCTAGTATTATAATGACAGGATCAAATTCACACATACAATATTAAAATTAAATGTAAATGGCTAAAAGCCCCAATTAAAAGACACAGACTGATAAATTGGATAAAGAGTCAAGACCCATTGATGTGCTGTATTCAGGAGACCCATCTTACATGCAAAGACACACATAAGCTCAAAATAAAGAGATGGAGGAATATTTTCTAGGCAAATAGAAATAAAAAAAAAAGTGGCTGAAATCCTAACCACTGATAAAACAGACTTTAAACCAAAAAACAAAAAACAAAAAAAAATCAAAAGAGACAAAGAAGGGCATTACATAATGGTAAAAGGATCCATGTAAAAGAAAGACCTAACTATCCTGAATATATATGCACCCAATACAGGAGCACCCAGATTCATAAAGCAAGTTCTTAGAGACCTACAAAGAAACTTAGACCCCCATACAATAATAGTGGAAGACTTAAACGTTATACCTAAAACCATAAAAACCCTAGAAGAAAACCTAGGCATTACCATTCAGGACATAGGCATGGGCAAGGACTTCATGTCTAAAACACCAAAAGCAATGGCAACAAAAGCCAAAATTGACAAATGGGATGTAATTAAACTAAAGAGCTTCTGCACAGCAAAAGAAACTACCATCAGAGTGAACAGGCAACCTACAAAATGGGAGAAAATTTTCACAACCTACTCATCTGACAAAGGGCTAATATCCAGAATCTACAATAAACTCAAACAAATTTACAAGAAAAAAACAAACAACCCCATCAAAAAGTGGGCGAAGGATATGAACAGACACTTCTCAAAAGAAGACATTTATGCAGCCAAAAAACACAGGAAAAAATGCTCACCGTCACTGGGCATCAGAGAAATGGAAATCAAAACCACAATGAGATACCATCTCACACCAGTTGGAATGGCGATCATTAAAAAGTCAGGCAACAACAGGTGCTGGAGAGGATGTGGAGAAATAAGAACACTTTTACACTGTTGGTGGGACTGTAAACTAGTTCAATCATCGTGGAAGTCAGTGTGGCGATTCCTCAGGGATCTAGAACTAGAAATACCATTTGACCCAGCCATCCCATTATTGGATATATACCCAAAGGATTATAAAACATGCTGCTATAAAGACACATGCACACGTATGTTTTTTGCGGTGCTATTCACAATAGCAAAGACTTGGAACCAACCCAAATGTCCAACAATGATAGACTGGATTAAGAAAATGTGGCACATATACACCATGGAATACTGTGCAGCCATAAAAAAGGATGAGTTCATGTCCTTTGTAGGGACACGGATGAAACTGGAAACCATCATTCTCAGTAAACTATCGCAAGGACAAAAAACCAAACACTGCATGTTCTCACTCACAGGTGGGAATTGAACAATGAGAACACATGGACACAAAAAGGGGAACATCACACGCTGGGGCCTGTTGTGGGGTGGGGGAAGGGGGGAGGGATAGCATTAGGAGATATACCTAATTTTAAATGACGAGTTAATGGGTGCAGCACACCAACATGGCACATGTATACATATGTAACAAACCTGCACATTGTGCACATGTACCCTAAAACTTAAAGTATAATAATAATAATAATAAAATGTGCTGCACCTACTTCTCTCTCTTCCTCCTTCTCTGGCCATGTAAGACATGCCTGTCTCCCTTTGCCTTTGTACATGATTGTGCGTTTCCTAAGGCCTCCCTAGCCATGCTTGCTGTACAGCCTGCAGAACTGTGAGCCAATTGAACTTTTAAAAAAAAAATTATCCAGTCTCAGGTAGTTCTTTATAGCAGTGCAAGAATGGACTAATATAGTTTGGCCTAGGATGGGCAACAGAGATGACATTTGTACTGCACATGGAGCCTGAGGCACTCTGCTCTAGACTGTGCCACAGGCTAAGCCAGCTTCTACAAGTTCCTGCCCAAGGATCAGATCCTACTCAAGGACAGGTCTGGAGAAGAACTATGGTGGAGCAATGCCAATTCATGCACAAGAACAGTCATGGGCTTTATTTATATATTCTAGGGATTTGGAACATTTACTGCAATCAGCAAGAGAGTGTCACTACCACAATTCAGAAGAAAATCCTTAAGGAAGGTGCGACCCAGGAACAGTATGAATCTCCACTGCATATTTGTCACCAAATGACAAATATGGATAGGCAATGGAAAAGAATAGCACTGGACTATAAATTTTCTTCTGTCCTACATAAAGAAAAACCTAGCAAAGGAGTATTAAAGAGGAGGGACACTTCTGATTTATATTTATGAGTTTTCAGTCAGTCCACCAAATACTTTATTTTTTCTTTCCTTTTCTTTTTTTTCCTTCTTCTGAGGCAGGATCTTACTCTGTCACCCAGCCTGTAGTGCAGTGGCACAATCACGGCTCACTGCAGCCTCGACCTTCCAGGACTTATGTGAGCCTTCTGCCTCAGCCTCTTGAGTAGCTGGGAGTACAGGTGTATGCCACAATTCCTGGCTATTTTTGGTATATTTTTGTAGGTATGGGGTTTCACCATGTTGCCTAGGTTGGTTTTAAATTCCTGGGCTTGAGCAATCTGCCTGCCTCAGCCTTCTGAAGTACTGGGATTACAGGTGTGAGGCACCATACCCAACTAAATTCTTTACTGTTTTAATGCAGTTGGACTCCTTCATATCACATCTAAGAGAACATATTGTAGCACATCAGGTGAGGAAGTGTTTGCTTTAGGCCTCCACACAGAATCACAGTCATCTGCTAAAAAGATCCATTGCATGACCCCTACCTCTACCCTTGTCCCTTCAGTTTTTGTATCAGAGCCTCCTTTGTGTAAGTAGGTATTACAAGTCTCTCTCTTATGAATTTTCCATTCCCCATTCTCTTTGACCATCACTATGTTGAGTTAACTTGCACTGCTGTCAATAAACTGTCTCTGACAGTATCTCACTGGTTCCACTGGTCTTCCTGAATTTCCACTGAAAAGAATGAATTCTTTTTCCCTTATCACCTTGGCATCTCAGTCCTGTGAAGTCTCCTATCTCAATCATCTAGTCCTCTATCCTACCACAGACATACACTCAAGTAATCGTATTTTATGTCAAGGTTGGGCAAAGTACAGCCCACTGGCCAAATCTGGCATGCAACCCGGTCACATTTAACATGGTAATGTTAGTACCCACATTATATTTTCAATTCTCCTTCTTGGCCCACAAAGTCTAAAATATTTATTACCTGGCTTTTTAAGTAAAAGTTGCTGACCCTACTACAGATCCTCTAGTTCCTAATAAATATAGTTTTTCCACAGTTTTAATTTCAGAAAGTCATGCTGTGATTCACTACCTCCAAATTCAGGTTTATTTGCTCTAGAATTCTGATTTCCCAAATCCTCCCATTTCATTAAGACCATCAGTACACCGATGTTACTATTATATCAAAGTACCTCACTTACCTACTCCAAGTTACATGCTTAATAAGTATTTGTTGATTGAATGAATGGAGTGGGTTTCTTTACTCTGAGTCCAAAATTCCAGATTCCCTCAGGAGTCCTGTCATCTGAGTTCTGCCTTGCTAAGTCATTCACTAATGTGTATATTCTCATTGCTCCTTCCCTCACCCCACAGAAACATGCCTGTCCCTATTTGTTCTCCCCAGGTACTGCAATCTATGCCTAGAGTATAAACGCTAAAGAATAAGCCTATGCTACAACTAGCAGCTCTCAATTTTTGAGTAACTATTATGCACTGGGTACTTTAAACATAATCTTATTTGATCTTCTCAATAACTACATGAGATAAGTACAATTCATATTTTAGAGATGAAGAAACTAGGCCTCAAGAGGTTAATTGCTCAATTTCTCAGAGCACGTGAGTCAGTGTTCCCTCTGAGACCTTTAGAGATCCAAATCCTATATTCTTTCCACTATGCTGTGTGCTGTAAATGTCAAAGAATGACTCAAGGGATGAGCATATCAGTTAATAATGGGGATAGATTTAGAGAGGCCATGTTAAACTTGGAAAGGGGGTTACATATATTTAGGTAAAAGAGTTAAAAAGGTGATTCTCTGCCCCTGGAGTAATAGTTCCTAAAAAACTTACAGATTAGTAAGTAATTCAGCCTCACCCACCTGGCTTTTTTGTGCCACTGCCCAGGAGTTCTTTTAAACACAATAAATGGGCAGGCAACTTCATTTTTTCCAAATATTACTGTATATCAAGAATCTTGCTGTGTTCTATAACCTCATAATTTTCTAGCTGGAAAAGCATGATAGTTTGATGAGAAGATCTTCCCACTGAACCACGGAGGGGCTACTTCTTGCTTTCTTCCAAAAATATAGAGGATTTGGCTTACAAAAAATGTCACTTAATATGATAATTCAGCTGAGGTTAAACTTATTTTTAATTAATGATTCAATACATTTTCTTGCCCTCCCCTACTCAAGAGCAATTAACATAGCTCTTTCTTCTTCTAGCCTAAAGTTTTCTAATAGGGCTAACCACTTCTAACAAAGAAATTCATATCTGAAAGAAAGAAGGCTATTTTGGTGTGTAGTTCAAAAACTATTGAGCATGACCTATAAAAGTTATTATTCATATTACTGCTCTTTCTAAGAGTCTATCTTTTTTTAAGGCTCTCTCTACTTTTCAATGCTCTGACAGCAATCTGTCATGCCTCAACCCTCTTTAAGAGTTTCTAAATTCTCTGTAAATACCATATGCATCCTGTGACACTGACATTCTCCTGCTTTCTTGATCTTTGCCATGCCCAGTTAGATATTTAGATTCATTGACCCAGCATCCTCACTGAGCTTCACCTGACATCTATTTCTTTGTAGCTTTAAATCGAATAGCCAAATAGTAATATATAATTTTGAAACAAATTTTTTTCCATGTGTCCACTTCCTCAAGACATTCTTATTCAAGCCAACTTTCCCTTTTAAAATTAGAGCAACAATCTCTTCACAAACATGTAAGATACGCTCTGCAGGTGGGAGTCAGAAGAAATGAGAATGTTCTTAAAGAATCCCTTCTATTTTCTCATCCAATATTACCTGCTCTGACCTATAGCTGAGTGATGGAAATTAGAAATGATTAGCAAGTGGAGATTTGTTAGATTAGATAAGGATACCTAGAAAACTATGAATATGAAATGCTTTTTTTCTTCCACTGCAGTTCATTTAAATACAAATACAGTCGTTATCATCTTCGAGGATTGTGTATTTATTAGTAATGTAAAAGAAATGCATAACATTTTATGTCTGAGTCTTCTATTTCTTTCTTTTTCCTTTTTTTATTATACTTTAAGTTCTGGGATACATGTGAAGAACATGCATGTTTGTTACATAGGTATACACGTGCCATGGTGGTTTGCTGCACCCATCAACCCATCATCTACATTAGGTATTGCTCCTAAAGATATCCCTCCTCTAGCCCCCGAATCCCAGAAAAGCCCTGGCGTGTGATGTTTCCCTCAGTGTGTTCATGTGTTCTCATTGTTCAGCTCCCATTTATGAGTGAAAACATGCCGTGTTTGGTTTTCTGTTCCTGTGTTAGTTTGCTGAGAATGATGGTTTCCAGCTTCATCCATGTCCATGCAAAGGACATGAACTCATTCTTTTTAATGGTGGCATAGTATTCCATGGTGTATATGTGCCACATTTTCTTTATCCAGTGTATTATTTATGGGCATTTGGGTTGGTTCCAAGTTTTGCTATTGTGAATAGTGCTGCAATAAACATAAGTGTGAATGTGTCTTTATAGTATAATGATTTATAATCTTTTGGGTATATATCCAGTAATGGGATTGCTGGGACAAATGGTATTTCTGTTTCTAGATCCTTGAGGAATCGCCACACTGTCTTCCACAATGGCTGAACTAATTTACACTTCCACCAACAGTGTAAAAGCATTCCTATTTCTCCACAACTTGTCCAGCATCTGATGTTTCCTGACTTTTTTTTTTTTTTTGAGACGGAGTCTCGCTCTGTCGCCCAGGCTGGGGTGCAGTGGCGGGATCTCGGCTCACTGCAAGCTCCGCCTCCCGGGTTCACGCCATTCTCCTGCCTCAGCCTCCCAAGTAGCTGGGACTACAGGCGCCCGCCACTACGCCCGGCTAATTTTTTTGTATTTTTAGTAGAGACGGGGTTTCACCGCTTTAGCCGGGATGGTCTCGATCTCCTGACGTCGTGATCCGCCCGCCTCGGCCTCCCAAAGTGCTGGGATTTCCTGACTTTTTAATGAAAGCCGTTCTGTCGTGAGATGGTATTTCATTGAGGTTTTGATTTGCATTTCACTAATGACCAGTGATGATGAGCTTTTTTTCATATTTTTGTTGGCCACATATATGTCCTCTTTTGAGAAGTGTCTATTCATATCGTTCACCTACTTTTTGATGTGATTGTTAGTTTTTGTCTGGTTAATTTGTTTAAGGTCCTTGTAGATTTTGGATGGATAGATTTTGTCAGATGGATAGATTGCAAACATTTTTCCCATTCTGTAGGTTTCCTGTACACTCTGACGATAGTTTCTTTTGCTGTGCAGAAGCTCTTTAGTTTAATTAGGTCCCATTTGTCAATTTTGGCTCTTGTTGCCATTGCTTTCATGTTTTAGTCATGAAGTATTTGCCCATGCCTTTGTCCTGAATGGTATTGTCTACGTTTTCTTCTAGGGTTTTTATGGTTTTAGGTCTTACATGTAAGTCTTTAATCCACTTTGAGTTAATTTTTGTATAAGGTGTATGGAAGGGGTCCTGTTTCAGTTTTCTGCATATGGCTAGCCAGTTTTCCCAACACCATTTATTAAATAGGGAATCCTTTTCTCATTGCTTGTTTTGTAAGGTTTGTCAAAGATCAGATGGTTGTAGATGTGTGGTGTTATTTCTGAGGCCTGTGTTCTGTTTTATATATAGGTCTATATATCTGTTTTGGTACCAGTACCATGCTGTTTTGGTTACTGTACCCTTGTAGTATAGTTTGAGTCAGATAGCATGATGTCTCCAACTTTGTTCTTTTTGCTTAGGATTGTCTTGAATATTTGGTTTCATATGAAATTTAAAGTAGTTTCTTTCTAATTCTGTGAAGAAAGTCAATGGTAGCTTGATGGGGATAGCAGTGAATCCATAAATTACTTTGCACAGTATAGCCATTTTCACAATATTGATTCTTCCTATCCATGAGCATGGAACATTTTTCATTTGTTTGTGTCCTGTCTTATTTCCTTGAGCAGTGATTTGTAATTCTCCTTGAAGAGGTTCTTCACATCCCTTGTAAGTTGTATTCCTAGGTATTTTATTCTCTTTGTAGCAATTGTGAATGGCAGTTCACTCATGATTTGGCTTTCTGTCTATTATTGGTGTATAGGAATGCTTGCAATTTTTGCACTTTGATTTTGTATCCTGAGACTTTGCTGAAGTTGCTTATCAGCTTAACGAGGTTTTGGGCTGAGACGATGTGGTTTTCAAAATATACAATCATGTCATCTGAAAACAGAGACAATTTGACTTCCTCTCTTCCTATTTGAATACCCTTTATTTCTTTCTCTTGCCTGATTGCCCTGGCCAGAACTTCCAATACTATGTTGAATAGGATTGGTGAGAGAGGGCATCTTTTTCTTTTGCCGGTTTTCAAAGGGAATGCTTCCAGTTTTTGCCCATTGAGTATGATATTGGCTGTGTGTTTGTCATAAATAGCTTTTACTATTTTGAGATACATTTCATCAAGTATTCTCTGATGGTAGTTTGTATTTCTGTGGGAACTGTGGTGATATCCTCTTTATCATTTTTTATTGTGTCTATTTGATTCTTCTCTCTTTTCTTCTTCAGTAGTCTGGCTAGTGGTCTATCTATTTTGTTAATCTTTTCAAAAAACCAACTTCTGGGTTCATTGATTTTTTAAAGTGCTTTTTGTGTCTCTATCTTCTTCAGTTCTTCTCTGATCTTAGTTATTTCTTGTCTTCTTCTAGCTTTTGAATTTCTTTTCTTGCTTCTCTAGTTCTTTTAATTGTGATGTTAGGGTGTCGATTTTAGATTTTTTTTCAGCTTTCTCCTATGGGCATTTAGTGCTATTTCCCTCTAAACACTGCTTTAGCTGTGTCTCAGAGATTCTGGTACCTTCTGTATTTGTTCTCATTGGTTTTAAAGAATTTATTTATTTCTGCCTTAATTTTATTATTTACCCTGTAGTCATTCAGTAGCAGGTTGTTCAGTTTCCATGGAGTTGTGCAGCTTTGAGTGAGTTTTTAAATCTTGAGTTCTAATTTAATTGCACTGTGGTCTGAGAGACGTTTGTTATCATTTCCGTTCTTTTGCATTTGCTGAGGAGTGTTTTACTTTCAATTATGTGGTCTATTTTAGAATAAGTGCATTGTGGTGCTGAGAAGAATATATATTCTGTTGATTTCGGGTGGAGAGTTCTGTAGATGTCTATTAGGTCTGCTTGGTCCAGAGATGAGTTCAAGTCCTGAATATCCTTCCTAATTTTCTGCCTCACTCATCTGTCTAATATTGAGAGTGGGGTGTTAAAGTCTCCCACTATTATTGTGTGGGAGTCTAAGTCTCTTTATAGTTCTTTAAGAACTTGTTTTATGAATCTGAGTGCTCCAATATTGGGTGCATATATATTTAGGATAGATAGCTCTTCTTGTTGCATTGATCCCTTTACCATTATGTAATGCCCTTCTTTGTCTTTTTAAATCTTTGTTGGTTTAAAGTCTGTTTTATCAGAGACTAGGATTGCAATTCCTGCTTTTCTTTTTCTTTTTTTGCATTCCATTTGCTTGGTAAATATTCCTAAGAAAAAGCCTATGTGTGTCTGTGCACGTGAGATGGATCTCCTTAATACAGCACATTGATGGGTCTTGAGTCTTTATCCAATTTGCTTGTAATTGGGGCATTTAGCCTGTTTACATTTAAGGTTAATATTGTTATGTGTGAATTTGATCCTGTCATTATGATGCTAGCTGGTTATTTTGCAATTAGTTGATGCAGTTTCTTCATAGTGTTGATGGTCTTTACATTTTGGCATGTTTTTGCAGTCGTTGGTGCCAGTTTTGCCTTTCCATGTTTAGTGCTTCCTTCAGGAGCTCTTGTAAGGCAGGACTGATGATAACAAAATCTCTCAGCACTTGCTTGTCTGTAAAAAATTTATCTCTACTTTGCTTTTGAAGCTTAGTTTGGCTGAATATAAAATTCTGGGTTGAAAATTCTTTTATTTAAGAATAAATAAATTTGAATATTGACCCACACTCACTTCTGGCTTGTAGATTTTCTGCATAGAGATCCACTGTTAGTCTAACGGGCTTCCCATTTTGGGTAATGTGACCTTTCTCACTGGCTGCCCTTAATATTTTTTTCTTCATTTCAACGTTGGTGAATCTGATAATTATGTGTCTTGGGGTTGCTCTTCTCGAGGAGTATCTTTGTGGTGTTCTTTGTATTTCCTGAATTTGAATTTTGGCCTGTCTTGCTAGGTTGGGGAAGTTCGCCTGGACAATATCCTGCAGAGTGTTTTCCAACTGGGTTCCATTCTCCCCGTCACTTTAAGGTACACCAATCAAATGTAGGTTTTGTCTTTTCACATAGTCCCATATTTCTTGGAGGCTTTGCTCATTCCTTTTCATTCTTTTTTGTTTAATCTTGTCTTCATGCTTTATTTAATTAAGCTGATCTTCAATCTCTGGTATCCTTTATTCCGCTTGATGGGTATGGCTATTGATGCTTGTATATTCTTCACAAAGTTCTCGTGCTGTGTTTTTCAGCTGCATCAGGTCATTTATATTCTTCTCTAAACTGGTTATTCTTGTTAGCAAATCCTCTAACCTTTTTTCAAGGTTCTTACCTTCCTTGCATTGGGTTAGAACATGCTACTTTAGCTTGGAGGAGTTTGTTATTACCCACCTCTGAAGCCTACTTTTGTCAGTTTGTCAAACTCATTCTCCATCCAGTTTTGTTTCCTTGCAGGTGAGGAGTTGTGATCCTTTGGAGAAGAGGTATTCTGATTTTTATACTTTTAACCCTTTTTGCACTGGTTTTTCTTCATTTTTGTGGATTTATCTACCTTTGGTTATTGACGTTGGTGATCTTAGGATGAGGTTTTTGTGTGGACATCCTTTTTGTTGATGTTGATGCTATTCCTTTTTGTTTGTTAGTTTTCTTTCTAACAGTCAGGCCCCTCTGCTGCCGGTCTGCTGGAGTTTGCTGGAGGTCCACTCCAGACCCTGTTTGCAAGGGTATCACCAATGGAGGCTGCAGAACAGCAAAGATTACTGCCTGTTTTTTCCTCTGAAAGCTTCGTCCCAGAGGGACACCTGACAGATGCCAGCCAGAGCTCTCCTGTATGAGGTGTCTGTTGACCACTCCTGGGAGGTGTCTCCTAGTCAGGAGGCATGGGGGCCAGGAACCCACTTGAGGAGGCAGTCTGTTTCTTAGCAGAGCTCAAGCGCTGTGCTGGGAGATCCACTGTTCTTTTCAGAGCCAGCAGGCAGGAACGTCTAAGTTGGCTGAAGCTGTGCCCACAGCCACCCTTTTCCCCAGGTGCTCTGTCCCAGGAAAATGGGAGTTTGTTGTTGTTGTTGTTGTTGTTGTTGTTTTGTTGGTTTTGAGACAGAGTTTCACTCTTGTTGCCCAGGCTGGAGTGCAATGGCATGATCTCAGCTCACTGAACCTCTGCCTACTGGGTTCAAGAGATTCCCCTGCCTCAGCCTCCTGAGTAGCTGGGATTACAGGCAACTGCCACCACGCCAAGCTAATTTTTGTATTTTTAGTAGAGATGAGGTTTCACCATGTTAGCCAGTCTAGTCTCGAACTCCTGACCTCAGGTGATCCACCTGCCTCGGCCTCTCAAATTCCTGGGATTACAGATGTGAGCCATTGTACCCAGCTGGGAGTTTTATCTGTATGCCCCTGACTGGGGCTGCTGCCTTTCTTTCAGAGCTGCCCTGCCCAGAGAGGAGGAATCTAGAGAGGCAGTCTGGCTACAGCAGCTTTGCAAAACTGCGGTGGGCTCTGCCCAGTTAAAACTTTCTGGTGGTTTTGTTTATACTGTGAGGGTGAAAAATGTCTACTCAAGCCTCAGGAATGGCAGATACCCCTCCCCCACCAAGCTCAAGCACCCCAGGTCAACTTCAGACTGCTGTGCTGGCAGCCAGAATTTCAAGTCAGTGGATCTTAGCTTGCTGGGCTCCATAGTGATAGGATCTGCTGAGCTAGACCATTTGGCTCCCTGGATTCAGCCCCCTTTCCAGGGTAGGGAATGGTTCTGTCTTGCTGGCATTCCAGGTGCCACTGGGGGTATGAAAAAAAAATAAAAATAAAAAAAAACTCCTGCAGCTAGCTCAGTGTCGGCCCAAAAGGCCACCCAGTTTTGTGTTTGATACCCAGAGCCCTGGTGGTGTAGGCACCTGAGGGAATCTTCTGGTCTGTGAGTTGTGAAGACCATGGGAAAAGTGTAATATCTGGGCTGGGATGCACTGTTCCTCACAGCACAGTCCCTCACAGCTTTCCATGGCTAGAAGAGGGAGTTCCCCAACCCCTTGTGCTTTCCAGGTGAGGCAATGCCCCACCCTGCTTTGGCTAACCCTCCATGGGCTGCACCCACTTTCTAACCAGTTCCAGTGAGATAAAACCGGGTACCTCAGTTGGAAATGCATAAATCACCCACCTTCTGCATTGATCTCGCTGGGAGCTGCAGACCAGAGCTGTTCCTATTTGGCTATCTTGCCAGCCACCCTTGAGTCCTCTAGGAATCCCTTTTTATCATTAACATACATTGAACATTTACAACAGTTCCAAGGACTATACTTTGCATGTTTTAACTCATTTAATGCTCAAAATAACTCCATTATTGTCCCCATTTGTACAAATAAAGTACCAACTGAAGGTCAAAGAGCTTGAATAAATTGCTTTAGGTCACATAGCTAAAAAGTCTGAAATCAAATATAAATTCAGTCAATCTGACTCCAGATATTGTTTATCCATAAAAATATATACAGCCTCGGAATTGTTCATTGGTACTAGACTTCTTCAAGAAAGTTCGTTGCATTTTTTTGAGAGTGAACAGAGTGCCTTCAGAAATAGCGGCCTTATTAAAATATGATTTATTTTTGTTCTTCCTAAGTCAGTGTATATGGAGTCTCTAATTGGCTGGAGACAAGTTTTCAAATTCACTGGGAAAACTTTTGTTGCTACCCAAAGATTCCTGTCCAACCTTTATGCTAATCTTTCTGTTGGGCTTATTGTTTTAACTTATGGCTTTAAAATATGCAAAAATACAAGTGCATACTTCCATGCTAATATATTTTCCTGTTATATCTCCCAACCATTCCCAGAATGCCTGGGACAAACAAGCACTAAATACTGCCTTAATATGAAAGAGATTTTCATAGAGGAAAGAGATTTTCTGAGGCTAGTGTGGAGGTTACTTATCCCAACTTCAGCTCAATAGATATGGCAAAATGTTTACAAATTTCATATCTATAACAATTGTAAACATGTATTTTAAAATGTATAGTTAATAAAATAATGTATAGTTAAATACATTTTATAATTAAATGGATTTTAAGTCTCATATTTTATATTGTTTGATTAGTCTGTTTTCACATTACTGATAAAGACTTACCTGAGATTGGATAATTTATAAAGAAAAAGAGGTTTAATCAACTCACAGTTCCATGTGGCTAGGGAGGCCTCACAATCATGGTGGAAGGCGAAAGGCATGTCTTATATGGCAGCAGGCAAGAGAGAATGAGAACCAAGAGAAAAGGGTTTCCTCTCATAAAACCGTAAGTTATCGTGAGACTTATTCACTATGACAAGAACAGTATGGGGGAAAGGACCCCATGATTCAATTATCTCTCACTGGGCTCTTCCCACAACATATGGGAATTATGGGAGCTACAGTTCAAGATGAGATTTGGGTGGGAACACAGCCAAACAATATCAATTCTATACTATACATCTTTGTGTTGACAATACTTAGCCTGTTCTTTTTTTCATAGAAGGTGTTTTTGTTGATGATATTGACCTGTATGATATCTTCAACCCTTTATTCATCAAGAGGATATTGAGGACAGAAGTAAAATTGCAAGGAAGTTTATTTCTCACAGCAAAAAGAAAATGTTTGTTCAATATATAGTTCGACATCCCAGACTTTATACAGTTGGCCATGAATACAAAAATGTCGTTTTGAATCTTTAAATCATTAATTGACTACAATTTGAGTCCTATGTCTTTGAAAGAAAAAAACTCACACCCAAATGAAATCATTTCATAAAAAACAAGCAAGGTAATGATTATTTTTCTTCATTTGTTCAGGTCTTCTGAAGTTCCTCAGCTCACTTGTCTCAGCAGTGTCTGTATCCTTTAGTCCTCAATTATCGATGAAAAAAGGAGGTGCCACAAAGTGGATATTACTGTGAATAAGTCTGAATTCAGGGTATAGAAACACACATGTGTGTGCACACATACACACACACAGAACCTTGGGGAACTGTTTTTATTTTGTGGAAAACATACCTAATTGCAATGTTGTTTGCTTTGCCAGGTGCCATGTCCAATCATGCTCAAAGAAATCTTTCAGCTGCTCCTGGAAAGAGGGCTTGCTTATATAGTTGCTCTCTTATTGCTGCTAGCAATAAGCCCAATTTACCTTCTCAGTACATATCTCCTTTACCTATACTTGACATTTCTTTCAAAGAGACAGCCTGATCCCTTGTGTATTTGTGAGCACTGTGTTTGTGTTTATTTGTGTTTCTGTATGTGTTTCCTTCACCTACTTTAACTCTTACGAAGATCAACAACCACTTAAAACATTCAACCATTTTTTGGTCTCCAAGTTCCTTCTCTTAGAGAGAACATTTGGCTGCAGCTGTTTTCTTTCTGCAAAGCTCTATTATGCTTAAAGTTCATAGTTGAATAAGAAAATGCATTTCTAGAAATATGTTTTCTGGATTTTTATGTAATAGTAGTACACTCAAGCATTGTTCTTTTGCTGAATGCATGCAAATCTATAATGGAAAATATTTCATCAGTTTAGATGTTTATGCTTTCATATTAAAGATTTTTGTTAACCAGACAGAGGAACAAGGCCTAATATGGCAACATGCTCTGTTTAAGTAATAGTACTTGTCTTGATTATATGGCCTTTATTAAAATTCCCAGCTCCGTGAACATTACACAAAACATTTTTTGCCAGATTTCTAGATGCCTCTGACATAAAATAATCAAGACTCAAGTGTATGCATGTATGTGTGTATGCATGTGTATGTATAGTGATTCTATATATATATATAATATATATATATATATAAAATATATAATCCATCTGAAGACATGCATTTGGAAACATCAAATCCAAGCTACCAGGCTTATGTAAATCCAGATAAGGAACAACCAATTTCTCAGAACTTGTTAAAATATCTGAACTTAAGTGAACTTCATAGTTCTTAAATTTTTTTATTTTTCCAGTCTTACTGATATTTTTAAAATTTAATCATTATAAACTCCAATAGCAGAAAAACAAATATTATCTTTTACAATAAATAACAGAAGTGAATCTATATAGATCTAGGGTACTCATGGGGTTCATTCTCTTTGGCGCATTCATAAAAACCTGAAATCTGAAATTGTGTGACTTTGAAGGACACTATGTCTATCTATCTATCATCTATCTATCTATCATCTACCTATTTCCAATTGTTTAAAATTTCTCTTACCCAATTTATTAAAAATTCATTTTTACTAGTGAGTAGGCACCTATTAGGGCAGGAATTATGTATTATCTCTATTTATTATTACACATCCTGGGCCTAAGTGCAAAGTAAATATTTATTGAAGAAAAGAAGGAGAAAGTAAAGAAGGGAAGAAGAAGGGAAGGAGGTAGGGAAGAATGGAAAGCAGGGTGGGAAGTAAGGGAAGGAAGAAATGTATTAACTATTTTTGTTGTTGTTGTTCCTTTCCTAGACCTTATCAGTATACAAAATAGAATGGCTGCTACAGAGTAGGTACCAGAAGTGTCCACTATGGACAATAGAAGGCTTTGCAGTTTGGGTACTATAGGAAGAAAACATTGAGACAGAGTTGGTTGTACAACTCTTTTTATTAAGAAGTTACATCAGCAAAAGAAGGGGAAGAAGAAGGGATGGTTAGATGTGACAGAGGCTGTATCCCCCACAAGGAGCTCTAGAGTAAATGTTGCCTGTTAGAGGAGTTCTATTTCAGGTGCACATGGCTAAGCCCTTGGACCACTGCCTTGTTCAATCACTGGCTGGCAGCCACTCTAAGAAGACTGGTACCTCGGCTTGAAATCTGAGGCTGACGATAAAGAAGCTGATAGCTGGAGGCTGTTTGATAACCACGCTCCTTGCAGCTAGCATTTCTTTTCTTAAACGGGGATGTGGAAGACACATCTCTGTATCTTCTACATCAGGTATGGACAAGTTTCCTTCATTATGGAAAGCAACCTAAGATATACCAACTTGTCCCTCTCAAATAACCAGCTCTAAATAAGAAGGGAATATAATGCTCTCCGAGAAAAGTGTAAAAAAGGGAACTCATGCAAAGGAATCTGTTTGTTTGTCAGTCTTTACACTGCATTTCTGTATGTTTCTACTTTGCTTATTAGGGGGATTCACAACAAATGCATCTCTGATTTTTTGTAATTGAAAGCATAACTGATCAATATTAAAGAAAACACATCTCTATTCTTTATAAAAAATAAGAATTTTTTATAAAGGATTCAAATGGATATCACTTGGTGAAACTTAAATGAGTTAATATCTTTGTTTCTCTTATTACCTTCCTTTTTGTAGGTTTCCATGGGAATCTTTGAAAAGCAACTGACTACAGCTGAATCTATATGTGTTCTAACAAGATCAGATTCAATTAAAGATCTGATGCATCTGCTCCTCGTGGTTTATGAAAAAAATCAACATGAATTTATTGAATAATTAATATGTACAGATTATGCAAACTGTGAGAAATTCAAAAACTGAGGAAGCTCCTGCCTGTGTTTTCGTATCGCAATGAGAACTGAAGCTAGGCATGTATTCACCAACATGAGGTAGGAGAGAAAATATTTTTCACCCATCACAAGGTTCATGGCTGAGGCTTTTACAACAAAAGACAAATTAACAACAAAAAAATAGGATAACCAAATTTATTTAACGTAAGTTTTATATGAAACAAAGCCTTCAGAATTGAACATGGAAAGAACCAGGGAAAACTGTGCATTTTTACAGAAAGTCATACAAAAGTGTGATTGGAGCACAAAAGAGTATGATCTAAGGATAATAAACTGGGGTAAACTTAACAAGGCCTGTTTGTTCAGATTCTTCTTGGACTCTCCGTGTGACATTTCTTCTCTCCTGTAGTAAGACAGGACATCTGTCACATGAGGTTCTTTAGGAGAGAGGGGAGGGACAAAGTTAGAGAGACCTTCCCGCTTCTGCAGTTTTCTCAATTTATTTCAGCTTTAAAATACTCAGTATGGCAAGATTCCACATTTTGGGGTGGCATTTTCTATACCCCATTAATGACAAACTTGAGTATCCTAGTTTATTTTTTCCCCAACTGAAATTGTTTTTTATAATCTCAGAAAAAAAAAAAACTGCTAGGCATGGGGTATGTGAAAATGGAAGTTAAAATGACAGTATTGTAGACAGTTGGCCAGCAAGTGATTCAGTATCTCAATGAATTATTATAAATTGAGTATCTACAACGTGCCATTAACTATGATAGAATCCTAGGACACAGAAATTGACAACGTAGAAGATATCCTTCCATTCGCTGAACTTATACATGACCAAACTAATAATTCTGAAGAATTAGAAGAGCTAAGAATGAAATGAAAGAGGAAATGTTATAAAGAGTAAATATAGTAGAACTGGGAAGCCAAGAGCAGGAAAATTTTATGTAGGATGATCAATCAAGAACATTTTGAAGAAATGTAATTTGACTTGAGATCTGAGAGGTGAACAAACAATAAATTGAACTTTTTGGGGGAGAATATTAAAAAGAAAAGATAACCAGAAAGAAAAATTACAAAGTTTCTGAGAGAGAAGTAAGTTTAGCTGGTTCTAGAAATATGTGGTACACTAGAAATACAATACAAGACACATATGTAATCTTAAATTTGTTAGGAGACATTTAAAGAGTAAAATTAAAGTGGTTCAATTACAATAATACTAAATTTTGTCTTATTTTATGTAATATACCCTAAACAGCATTTCTACATATAATCAAATTAAATATTAATGAAAATATTTTACTTTAATTTTTTATACTAAGGTTTAAAAATATGCTACATATTTTAGACTTACAAAGTGAATTCAAATTAGAATATTTAGATATGGTGATTGTATTTTAAGTAATCATAGTCATTTGTGACTCATAGCTACCATATAGGATGGTGTGATTATAGAGACTGAAAGAAGGCTACTGTTTCTCGATGGCGTCTAAGAAAGTGTATTGAGAGGAATTTGGAGCTAAAAATAGTATATAAAGCAAGCAGGGCCTTCTAGGCAGTGGCATTGCATTTATATCATATTCAAATTACAACGGGAAGTCATTAGAGGGTTTTAAGAAAAAAACTGACCTGATATAATAACCGCTATTAATAGACTGTGCATGCTGTGTAGAAAATAGCCTGTAAAGGGTACAAGAGTAGATGCAGAAAAAACAGTTACAGTCTTCTTTGAGCTACATTGGCAGCATAAGCAGTGGACATATATGGGAAAGATATGGATATGTGTTTTGGAGGTAAAAGCCCACCGGACTGAATTCAACCAGAGAGATCAGATATAGGGCAAGCATAAAGAGAAGAATTAAGAATGACTCTTTTTGTTTGTTTGTTTGTTTGTTTTATTGTTGTTGTTATTCTTTATTTTTGCAGCGGCAAGTGGATGGTGGTAGCATAAACTGAAATAAGAAAGACTTGAAGTTTCAGAGGACAGAAATGGAAATTCCCATGGGTTATGTAAAATTTGAAATGACAGACACAGTTCAAAATTATGAGTAAACAAGTTGTTTTATTAGAGTGGAATTCAGATTTTGAGAGTGTCAGTGTATAGTTATTATTTAAAGTTAAGAGACAATGACATTACCTAGAAAAGGAAAGAAAAGGAGCAGAAAGGGAGAGAGGAGAAGATAAAGGATTAGGTGAGGGGAGGAGAGGAGAAGGGCTGACAATGCCTAAAACAAAAGGCAGAAAATTAGGAGGACAAAGGCTGTTTTCACAGACAGGTAGTCCCAAAAGCCTAGTTGGTATGCTATAGAGAGAGACAGGAGGTGAAGAAATGGAGATAGCAGTACAAATACTATTTACAAGGAGTCTATTTAAAAAGCTGAGAAACAAGGCAGGAATTGGAAGGGGAATGTGCAATGAAGGGAGAGCATTTTCTAAATAATTATTTAATTAAGGTTGAGAATCTGAGATTAAGCCAGTTTAATCAATTTACCCAAACTCTCACAGTACATAGTGAAACCAAGTTGCAAATGCAGATATTTCTGACAGCAAGGGCCAGAACCTCATGCATGTTATAGTGCATTTTATAACGCCTCTTGGGGAGGAAAGCTGAATTTTGGAAAGCCAATATCTTTTAAATGTAGTGGTATCAAGTAAGAGGTATTGATTAGTCTCAGTGATAAGAAGTTGACTTAAGACTGGAATTATGAGAAGAAGGAAAGGGCTGATGAAAAATACATTACCAACAAAATAAGACCCCAACAAAGATGAGGCTGAGCCTCATGAATATGGGAATAAGGAATAGTCAAAGGTGACTCAGGGCTTATAAGTTCCCATACATAGAAAAATATGGTGGTCTGCATCTACCATGAATTTGGCTTTCATATGATGTTCAATTTAATTAATACATTCCATCACAATCCCTCATCTGCTTTTTGGATCTAAATGGTTTTTCACACCTCAGCTGACTAATGATGATTTTGAGCTATCGTTTGGCAGCACTGCCCCCTAGTTGTTTCAGGATTTTTTGTAAAAACATGCTTGACTTTCTAATGTATTTTCCAGAAATCTCTTACGTACGAAAGCAAGTTGATCCTTTTAAGTAAAATATTGGCAAAAACAATGAACAGGAAAAGTTCAAAAGAAAAGATAATAAGCTTAGTTTTATAAAATTATATTCTGATATGACAGCAGATTTAACTTGAAATATGTAGACATATTCATGTGCCAGTTATCAGCACAGCTCTCAAGATGGCCAGGATAGCACATGATAATGCAAAACTTAAATACTAGCCAGTTAACCTTGTAAAATTTAACAGGTTTTATTGAAAAATCTCAGAGCGGTAGCTATTTTTATTTTATTTCATAGACAAGGGGACAAAGGTCTCTGCCAGTGATTTGGTCAAAATCTCTTAGCTACTAAGTGGCACAGCCAGGATTCAACCCAGTTAGGGTTTATAGCAAAGCATGTACTCTCAGCAATAACATGGATGTGGCTTCTGAGAAAGTACTTGAGAGGTACAACCCAGTGATCATCTATGTAGCTTCTTCATGGTAGCTTTTGTAGTATCTCTGTAGTGTGCAGATTCTGTTGCAGGGCACATTGCTGCTACTTTTCAGGGGCTAGAGGAATGGAAGATTGTAGTGTTTATTTTAAAGGAGAGATAGTTATACATAAGAACAATAAAAGAGAGGAAACAGGGATATTAATTCTCAACAGATCAGTGAAATTTGCTAGAGACCATAAATATGTATGATGCAAAAATATTTTCCATCTAACAAGGGCTGTACTCTTTGCCCCACCACCACTCTGAGTTTAATTATTGCTAGTGGCTTCTTTGTTGTTTGCTTTCATTTTAGTATTGCAACTTTGCAATTACCTGCCAATCCTTCATCTGTGTTTGTTTTTTGTTTTTTGTTTTTGTTTTATTTTGGAATCGTCTTCAATCTTATTGCATCCACTCGTATGACAGATGAAGCAAGTCCAGGCCCCACACAAGGACTCAAAAGATGCTCTAATGTCTTTGGACTTGTTGGTTGAGTAACCATGTTAATGATAACTTTGAGCAAAGTTAATGCAATATTTTGTGCCCCCCAAAACATTTTTGAGTTTCTAATTTTGTAAACAATTTTTCATCTTCTTTAGGGCGTAGTAGCCGTTTATTTTCATGAATGTTGAAAAATGATACATTTTTAGATGTACCACAAGATTATAGTTCAAATTCTAGTTCAACACTAAGAAATTCTGAATATATTTGTAGAGAGAGGTCATAGACCCAACCATACAAATTGAAAGTAAAGGTTCAGCAATTGAAGTAATTCATTCATTCATCCAATGAGTCAACATTTATCTCAAGTCTGCTGTGGCCTTGACAAAGGGTTGAATGCTGAAGATGCAGTAATGAATAAACACACATACTCTAATAGCTAATAAGTATTATGAACACAGATATGATAGAAATACACACAGACCACTATACAAATAATATTTAAAATCATGTGCTTGATTTTGTTCAAAAATATCTATTCTGTGAACTGAAAATATCCCTGTGAAGACTAAAAAGCCAAAATGGCATTTCATATTATGAAGAAAATATTCTTAGTCTCTATATAGATTATCACAAGTAATTTAGAAAAATAATACTATTTTCCTAGACTGGAGAAAAATTGAATGTACTTCCTTAACAATGATAGACACAGATACAGATACAGAAAAAAAAAAACAAAACATAGACCCGTTGTTTAGAGGTATTGTGTACCATTGAGAAAATGTCACGGAAAGTATAATTACATATTATCATATTTAACTAGCTGCACTGTGCTGCTTACACTTGTGTTATTTATAATTCCATGAATAACTCTAAAGTCCAAATGTGTCCAGGCTGCTGTAGATTAGGATACAATTTTTACTTTTACTTATCTGAGAATATTCATCTGAAATTAATCAATTTCAGAGACTTTGGTAGATAATATTTATTTGAATTAAAAATAATAAAATCACTTGTATATTTTCTAGTATCTGCAAATGTGGTTGATAGTAGAACATTTAATTGAACAAGCATGGATGCTGAATAATAAAAATTGATACCAGATGTAAACAATTGATATTAGTAAACTGGTAGGCATGGGTTAAATGTGAAATACACTGGATCAAATTGTTTTTCTACATATATTTTTTAAAAAAATTTACATAACTGCTAACCAATAAAATAAAATCAGCGTACCTAATCTATTGGAATAACTTCAAAGATCAATTATTGAACAATTTCCCTTTCTACCAACTTGGGAGTAAAGAATGTTAAAGTTCAAGATAACTAATGGGCAATTCCCCTAAGTAAATAAGGCGAGGTCACATTCACTAGGCCTTAACGCCGAGAGTTCAGTAAAATAGAGGATGCTGGGTTGCAATTCTGAACATTCAGAAAAATAAAAAAGATTAGAAAAAAATGCTACAGGCACAGGCAGATAACTGACATGTGGCAGTGGTAGGTTTCTTTATAACATAACACTTATAGTTCTCTTTATATTGTATTTGCTGTCTTAAGACAAAAATTGTATATTTTGAAATTGGTGCAGAGTATGAAACAAATTTGATTTTAAGTATTTTCAATGGTCTTATAATTATTTCCCAAATTTATGTTCACCCCACATGACTTACCCACTACACATTCTGGATATTAACACCATCATTATGTTGGATATCTTATGTTGGGACACTAGTTGAGGGGATATTTCCCAATGCTAAATTTGTGTAGGAAAAGATTCAAGTTATAAAGCTTAAAGATCATTGAATAGTTAATATTTGGGGAGGTAAAAATCTCACAATCACATATTTGAGATGTAATAGTGAAGGAATAGGTATGTGGTATAAACAAGGGGCAATCAATACTAAGAAAATCAGTGTTTCTTTAGTTGTATCCTCAGCAGAGATTTAAATAACTTTTGTTTTTTTTTTCTCTCTTTTACGGAATTAAAATTGGACCACCCTTTCTTACCCACAATCAAATTCCAGAGAAACCAATTGTGATGCTAATGAAGGAAATAGTCATGGACTTCATATTTCTCTAAGTATTTTCATGGCCATCCATTTGTGGATTGCAATATTTTCCTAACCCAGCTGTCTTTCTGAGTCACTGCCTCTGCCCCATCCTCTTAGATGTGACACAGAACATTTTAATCAGAGAAGCAAAAAGCTTGTTTTGCTGTTAGAACTAATGAGTTTCCAATTGATAAATTACATTAAATAGTAAACATCACATCAATAAATGTCTTGTCCTAAGATATTAAAAAATTAACATGAAGCCAATAACAACATATGTGAAATGTTCAGTTTATTAATAAAGTAATGAAGAAAATTCTATTTGATTGCTGTGCATGTACCATATAGTTGACCAGAATTTACAATGCACGTATATAGTTTATACCTGACAGCATTTAACGGGCTTGGGAAGACCCTATAAACCAAAATTATCTTTCTCACACCTGCCAGGTCATCTGTAATATTTCACATCAAATTTATTTCGTTAGAGTAAGACAGACATTGCCCACTGAAGTTGAGTGTAAAAAAAAAAATTCTTTTCTAGGAAAGTTATGCATCCAAACAACTGGTAAATTATATTAGTTTTGTCCAAACAGCCCTATCTCTTAGATGTGGCCAAAGCCTTTAAAGAACAAGATAAGGCAGATAAAGGTTAATATTAGGCAAAGGCTGAGATATGGGAGATTGCCCCAAGGGACTGACTGCTACAGGAGACATTCTGCAGTGGACCGCGCTGAAATGAGAGGGGAAGCATAACACCTTGTTATGACACTTCAACGGCAGAAAGGACGATGAGCACCCAGTGTGAACTTGGCTAGGGGCCCTGCACATTATCCATCTATTGCTTTCAGCTACTCCATGTGTCAAAGACTATTATCTCCATGGTCTAGATTAAGACACTGAGATGCAGGGAAATTAAGACAGCGAGTAACAGAGGCAAAAGTAGAGGTGGTGATGACAAACTTCCCTGGGAAAATCTACATATGTACATTAAGGTGTATAAGAATAATTCTAATTATTAATAAGAGACAGAAAAAAGAGAAAGAAAGAAAGTGGGAGGAAGGAGAATGAAAGGAAAAGGGAGAAAGAATAAACAAGGAGAAAAAAAGACTTTTTAAAGACAAATAAAAATAAGTAACCAATTATTGAGTTGCATACCTAACCTCAAATAATTTGTAGGTTGTCCAATAATTTGTAGATTGTCCGTGAATGCTTCAAAAAGTATCCATAATCATAATAATTATAATCATGATCATAAGCAATGTGCATCAAAACCAGACCACGAGAGAGTAAATTTGAGTAGTAAGTTGGCGTATAATATTACCAGATATTTCTTGAAATTAGGGAGCGTGTTGTTTGCCATGCTCTAAGCCTCCTCATGAGAAAATACAAATAATTTACCCCAGTCGTGCTTACATATCTCAAATCTTTATTTTGAGCCTTAACTAAATTCATTGACTCTACTAATTTTCAATTATTTTTATGGAGCCAAACTTTTAAGTGAATTTTTATTTTTTGTCTTCTCACTGCTCTGGAGCTTGCATCTTCTTTGAAAGTAGTTATAGGTGACTGACAGGTATGGAAACACTAGAAGAATTCCCACAGAATCATTTCTTTGTGTAGAAAATACAACAAATGCCTATTTATACAGTATGGTTAAGAATTGGGATAGCTTGGTTAATTGCAGTTCTAGTTAGCTGAGGAGTTGTATGGCCAGGGAGGATTAACAGATGGTTATAAAAGTGTACTGTGTGCATTAAATCTATTCTGGGGCTTACCAGTTTTTGCATTCATTTTTAATATATTCATGAAAAGATTTCTTGATGCTGTATAATCAAGCATCTACTATTCAGAAATTGTTTATGGAATAGAAAAGATGATGCTTATACTTGATTGCATTTCTGAGAATGTGTACTTTTTAAGATTTTTGTTTTTACTAAGGTGCCATGATAAACAATTTCTTACCCATGAAATGAATCAGTTGCTATTGTGTCTATTGACCAAAGCTGCATTTTATTCAGAAGACTTGAGGTGGTGACATTCAGGATATGTCTACAGAAGCCACTTTCATGTATATTAATATTATATAATTTACTTCCCAAATAACGTATTTAGTCACATCTATAATGAAGCTGTGGAAAAAATTCTTATGTCACTTTCTTTATTTCAGCAACAATTACAAGGAACTGCATGTCAAATACAATCAGCATTCTGTGAGGCTTTCATTTCATTATTTGAGTGTATAATACACACATCTGTAGAGTAAGTAATATTCAGTTACCTGGGGTCATTTTCATTCATGAGTATTTCAGAGACCAGCCATCTCTAAATGCCTGGGGTCCTTGGAAACTCAAATGTAAACTGTTCATTAAAATTTCAATCATTTCACACCTAGTGTCACATACCATATGTTGGATATCCAGTGAAGAAACTGCATAACACTCTAAAATTCCAGTGTAGTCAGCTTTGGACAACCCTTTGAGCAGGAGTTAACCTGAGCTTCTTGCTCTCCTGAGATTAGGGAAAATGCAGCTGTGAGCCTATTCAGTTCCTACTCTTGTAATGGAGAGGAAATACCACAATGTAGTTTTTGTGGCAGATGAGAGCTGGAATCTCTTCAACCACCACATCTTTTCATAGTGTTGTGTAAAGTATGGTGAAGAGACTGGAGAACTATTACAATTCTGTATTTCTTTATTGAAAGTAGGATTTACTGCTTAGAATAATGGGATTACAGATAAGAGGATATCCATTTCTCAATCACAGCAACCTAAAGGTAAATATAGAAATGTTATTAGCAGACTGAGGAGTATAACTTTGTGAAGAAATTTAGGCATTGATACCTCACATTTTCATATGATGCATCAAAGCGTAGGGATTCAAACATCTTTTGTAATCTGTTACATAAGCATCTTTTCAGAACTGGTTTCCTCTAAATGAGTTATAATTTTTAATTCTTTCTAGAATACTCGATAACACTGCATAAGCCCTTTCATGAAACAAACATTCATACTAACATATTAGTAATATTACTTCCATTTCAAGGGATTCAAGGAACAACCAAATCTTTTCTATGTGTCCATATATTTGGGATTAACAACCACCAAAAGGGAAAAGGAAGGTGTTGGCATCAAGGAGATATTAAATCTATAATCACCCATACAGGAGTTATGTGTAAAAAAGCTCCTAAGAGACTTTAACTCTCAAGTAAGTTATTCTCCCCCTCCCCAGTTTGAGACAGGACATTCCGGGGGTGTGTTTCTGAAACCCAGGGAAGAAAGAGCCCTCACTTGAGCTTTATGGGGAGTAAGATGCCTTACGTGCCCTTGAGACAGCTTGTTCCCCACACATACAGGAGGAGAAGGGGCCAGCTTATGTAACCATTTCTTAAGCATTTGCTTCATTTCCGAACTGAATGTACTCATACATGTTGAAGGAATTTAAAGTACTCAACTAAAATCTGCTAAAGAATATTCATTTAAAACAGTTTTATTCAGTGCCCAGAATTTTATCTAGCACGTGATTTAAAATTACTGATTTATGTTATTTGTAGGCACAGTATTTTGAACAGCAAGAAGATTACTAAGAATTTTACGGTAATACTAAAAACATACCAGAGTTTATTTGACCAATGAAAAATTGTAAAGAAGAATCTAGTCTGTAAAAATATATTTATGCAATGCATTTCACTGTGTGCCCTGTCTCCTAGTTACTACACAGGATGGGAGAAAAGCTTCTTTAATGCATTGTCTTCCCCAGCCTCCTCAACACAAAAAACATACATTTCACACACTCCATTGGGATTGCTTAACTGCAGGGAGAAAATTGCCATCCTAAAAAGAAACGCTGGCATATCCCTGGGCTGAGCCAACCAAGGTGGGGGAAAGAATGTTCCGAGCTAATGTCTTTTTTACTCCAAGGAAGACCAGAGCAGTCACTCTGGACAGTCCATCCTGAATTGTGAATGTTCACAACTATTACTTCATTTGATCACCTCACTCTCTGTCCTTCTCCTCCAGAGCTTTAAGATGTAACCCTACTGCCTCTCCGCACTCAGAGCAGATGAGTCATATTATCATGGATTATTCTTTGTCTTCTCTACATTCCATCTTTTGAGGAACCACTTTATTATCACTTATTAGTAATCTTGTGCAGTCTTGTGTTTGTACTAGGACAAACTCACATTCCCTGCTCATGAGTAAGCATGTGACCAAAACCTGGCCAATCCGAGTAAACTATGACCAGAGGACACTTAGTTATAGCAGTTATTTCAGTGAAATGTACATGATTTAAGCCATGTTAACCAGAATTTCTCCCATAATTTTGTCACTATTGTGGGGAAAGTTTTTGTTCAATGGGATCTCGATTTTTATATATATATATTATATTATATATGTATATATATTATATATTATATATGTATATATATTATATATTATATATGTATATATATTATATATTATATATGTATATATATTATATATGTATATATATTATATATATGTATATATATAATATAAATATATATGATATAAATTTCGAGCCTGATCAATTTATCACCATACAATAATAACTTGCTGGGAATGTGGCCAAGCAAAGAAAGCAGATTAAGATATGCTGAGAAAGAGACCTTATGGCATTGTTTGGAAATCTGGATCTAGCTGTTCCTAAAGCAGAACCTCTCCCCCTCCCTTGCTACATTAGTCAATTTTATTGAATAAATGAGTTTGCACTCACTCTTTGATACCTTTAACTAACAGAATTCTGACTAAATGCAGAAATTGGTACTGGAAAGTGGAATATTGCATGAGAGAGGAATTCAAATATGAATTTAGCTAGGTCAAGGTAAGCAGTAGGACAGAAATGATTTCCCATCTCTTACTGGGAAGTTTATCAACCTCCTTATGTGATGGTAGAGAATATGGTTAAGTTTTTACCTGTTGTATCTTGAAAATCAGACAATGTAAATAAAGTGTCTGGGAGCTTTAGGGCACATTAGAGCCAAGCAAACAAGCAAGCAGGCAAACAAACAAACAAAACAAAAACATCTGTTTTGATGCTAGAGTTTATTGAATGCTTCCTGGAGACTTTAGTAAGGTCCTAAGACCAATTTTGGCTTAAACTAACTTCCCTCAAAGCAGAGAGTAGCAACCATTTCTCCCTAACAAAGGTGACATCCAAGATATCAAAGTTGCCAAAATTTATATGAGCATGTCTTACAGGTTGAAAAAGCCAAATCATATAAATATGATTCCAAGACAGTCAGTGAAAGCAAAGGTGCAAGGGGGAAGGGAAATCAGCAAATTTTGTATTAGAGCCCAGAAGCCAGACACCAAGAAGAAACTTTATCCTGCAAGGCCAGGATTAGTGTGAGATAATTGAGGCACATATTTCAAGCACAAAATTTAAGGAGGCACTAAAAAATCTTGGTAATCAAGAAATATAATATTTAATGAAATATTTTTAAAAATAAAAAATATAAAAATTTACACAGAACAAAACATCCAAATAGTAAATCAAGACATGACTAAACTCAAACAATCATTGTTCACTTCCTGTCCAAAAAATTAAAAAAAAAATAGTGGCCCTAGTATTAACAACTATGTACTCTAATGCAGCCAAAAATAAAGAACAGATTACTAGTCTCACTGCCCTGGGCAGAAACAGTGAAATGGGTTGCTAAGAAACAGAAACCACCAGAATGAAATTTAGATTAAAATGAGACTCTTTGAGCCTAGTTACCAGTCAAGGGAGGAAGCAGGTAGCAGTCAAACAAAAGTCAGCTGAAGTTTTAAGGGCATTATCTTCCCAGAAAAACCTCAACATTGGCAAATTTTCAATGCCTCAGACAATTAGCACATCAATGAGTTTACACAAAAAGGAAGTTGCCTACCAAAACAGTGCTGTTCCAGAAATGGAAATCCTCCAATAATCTCAGATGCAGCCATGGAGGAAAACGTCCAGGGCATGTCCTGCAAGAGGGCAGAGAGAGGCAGTTTGGTCAAGACATTGACTCATCTGCCACTGAACCACAGCCACTGGTTTCTGTCCAGCAGAACTAATATGTGCTCTAGCTCAAAGGCCACTGTATGCTACTTACTATTCTCTTGTTTTTCATGTGAAAATGTTTATTCTATGTGTTTATTCTAGTCTTAGTGCTTAATTTTGGACTTGATATGTTGGGGCTTTTTTGATTCATCATGTAGCTGCAGATTACAAATTTATTTAGTGCAACATCTAATCTGAGTAAGAGTGAGTTATCTCATCCAAAGATTCTAATTTTGGAACTGCATGTAGAAATTGAATTTAAGACTTTGGATTATCAATCTTTGGGGAGAGGGCAAATGCATTTTCAGTATTATGTTAAAGTAGTTGCATTAGGTTAGAACTGGCATTTTTTAACATACATGTATGAATAGAAAATGTTTGTGGACTACTATGCGATGAACCTAGTGAACATTTATTTTTTTCCCTTTCACTGAGAATGAAGTGTCCTTCATTGCATAGTAATTGTCCTTCATTGCATAGCAATCTGACCCTAGTCCAGGTGTTTTTGTGAGACCAACCTTTTTACTCTTTGTGTCTCCCCATTCTACTGCTCCTCACTAGGACTGATCTTTGGACTCAAATCTGGACACTCAAAATATTCCCTTTCATTGCTATATACTCATTTTTCCCAAATCTTTAGTATGAGCTCAGTTTCAGTTCCAATTACCAACCCATATTACATTATCTTTGATGTTCTTTGGTCTCCTCATGAGATAACTTACTGATTTGATACATTCAAATCTTAAACACAAAAACAAAAATAAACAAAAAAAATCCCCCCAAAGGTAAGGAGATGGGTCCTCTGTGCTTATTTTATTTCAAGAAAATAAGTCTCCATGCTCACAGTCAATAGAAAGACAATTTTCTACTTAAAAAAAATAACTATTCACAATAACAAAGACTTGGAACCAACCCAAATGTCCAACAATGATAGACAGGATTAAGAAAATGTGGCACATATACACCATGGAATACTATGCAGCCATAAAAATGATGAGTTCATGTCCTTTGTAGGGACATGGATGAAATTGGAAATCACCATTCTCAGTAAACTATCGCAAGAACAAAAAACCAAACACTGCATATACTCACTCATAGGTGGGGATTGAACAATGAGAACACATGGACACAGGAAGGGGAACATCACACTCTGGGGACTGTTGTGGGGTGTGGGGAGGGGGGAGGGATAGCTTTAGGAGACATACCTAATGCTAAATGACGAGTTAATGGGTGCAGCACACCAGCATGGCACATGTATACATATGTAACTAACTTGCACATTGTGCACATGTACCCTAAAACTCAAAGAATAATAATAATAAAATTAAAAAAAATAAGAAGTTAATTTAGCAGGCTACAGAAGAACCATACAAAGAAATAGAGGAAAACAGCCTCAATGATTTCTTGTGCGTAGCACAAATTGCTCTATTGAACAATTTTGAGTACTTATTCTGTTTCAGAAGCTATCTTTTAAATATATTTCATCATTTAATAGGAGGTGTTGTAATCATTATTTTATAGATGGTAATAACGAAGCATGAAGTATTTATGCTATTTGTTCATCATTGCATAACCATTAAATGGCAGAGTTGGAATTCAAAACCAGATGGCCTACACACAGAATCCAAGCACCTACTCCTTTCATAAGTGCCACTTATTCATAGTACAGGTGAGAAAATCACCGTGGAACGGATGAGTGAACGGATTCAAACCTATTTTATGCCAGACTAAAGGCAAACAATATGCCTGGACTTAAAATGAATGAAGTTCTTAATAAAAGGAACTCATGCCATTGTGTAAGTCATGCTACACAGAGAGAAATGTTGTTTGCGCCGAGAACAGCCCTATCCCCACAAGGGTGAGTGAGCACTGACCATGTTTATACAATCTCTACATCCGTATCAAAGGGGTAGAATTACCTTTATCCCCTGTGCTACCCGTTGTTCTTTCTTCCCATTCCCTACCCCAAATATGCACACAATTACTGCCCTCAGCACATTTAGGCAAATGTTGCCTCTGACCTACCTCTTCTGACATTTGCTATTTAAGAATATTCAACAAAGTGCTTATTTTATAGGCCTTGTTTTATTTTTTGTTACTTTCAGCAGGAAAGCTACTCACCATAAGTGCTTTATTTTCACTGTGCTTCCAGCTAAATCCCGCACAGTAAAACAAATTAAGCAGATGGCAGACTTAAATGTTAAAGATTGGAAAAAAATGTATGAAGAAATTTTAGGATACATTAGAATATAGGATCGCATATATTGAAGTGAGATGAATCAGAGGTTAAAGTCACAGAGAATTTTAAAGCATTTAGCTTCAGTGAAGATATATGAATGATTCAGGACAGGAGCTGAAAGTGTCCTCTCATGACAAGTGTGCCTTCATAATGCTTAACTCCCAAATTAGTCAAATGCCTTATGTGGCTTTCTTGCCTCATGAGGTCATGCATATTACCACTGCTATCTTTCTTTCTTTTCAGAGTAAAATATTCACAGCCTCAATCATCATGGGGAAGGTTCAAAGGACAGAGGTTTATGTGGTTTAATATGAGTGATGCCTATGGAGAGTCCAGATAAAAAAAGAAAATAAATTTTCATCCTCTGTCTATTACTAGTTTCTCTGAATTCTCCTATTAGGGAATATACATTCACTGTAAAAATTTTGAGCTCTGTTAAAATGCAAATTTCCCTGGGAGCATTCAATCTCATGAGTCATTTTCAACTATGAGTAAACGAAATTAGCAGATGATTTCCTAAGAACAGGTTTGAGTAGAGAGAAGGAAGGAGGAAGCATAAGGCTGCCAAGGACCAGGATTAAGTCCTTAAACTCAAGTTCCTAAGATAGGAGTGTTCTAAAGTCAAAATATGTCTCATAAAATATTATCTCAGAGCTAGTCTTGATATTCATAAATTTAAAGATAAGTAGTATTGTTTTGAATTAGTTTAAACAGAAAAGTTGTAAAAGCAAGGGAAAAACAAAGAAGCCAACATGTATTTAGTTTCTTTTATATATTAGGGGTTTTACTCTCTCCAGCCGTCACAACTCTCTGTGATATTTTCATGAACCCCACTTTATCTATGAGGACAATGAGCCTCAGAAATGTTACTTGACTTGACAAAGGTCACACATCTGATAAATAGTGTAGAGGAAAGATTCTGATTCCAATTTCTCTGTAAAGCTTGGGTTTTCCCCACACCAAATGGCAATGGCTTTCTGGTGTCAAATAACCTAACTGTGTGCTGACATTTAAAAATCATTAAACAGAGAATGATAATTATATTCCAAAAAATAAAGGGACAAAACATGCTAATACCAATACAATATAACTAATATCTTTGGCTGTGATCAGGAAGATGTAATTAGAGAAAAATGGAAGAATTGTTAGAAGAAGGGAAAGAGGACATACCCAAGGGGACATAGAAGGCAACTTGAACTAACTTATAATTGCACCCAGCTGCCACTAGGATCCACTTCAATGCTCATGTAATTTCCATAGACCCAAGGCTCACTTATTTCTGACACAGCATATTAATCTAAAGACAAAAAGTGTAGGGGTTGATTAAAGACCTTCAAAACTCTATCAAGATAATTTAATGGTAAACGAAGAAAAAAATATTCCAGTGAGACGTTTTAAGAAAATATCAGCTAGAAGTATTTTATTTTTATTATGTTGAAATCGAGGCATGTCATACCTAGTCTTTTTTTCTCTGTAGTTAAAGTTTCGTGACATTCTATGAGCCAGAGCAAGTAGCAATATACAATTAGACTAGCCTCCTTTCGTGGCATAGACTTTTGGTGGGACAAGAAGCATTATCTCTCCAGTATAAATGACAAAGAAAGTCTGCACGGGCATGCCCAGGCAAATGAAAAGCTACCTTTGAAGTGTTTATATTACAGAAAAAAAGACTCTAATAATTTATATTAACTACAAAAATACCTCCAGAAGATTAGAATAATAGAAAAGCATTTATAATATCCAGGAGGGAAGAGCCATATAAAATAGAACTGAGACTATTTCCTTGGGAAGTTTGTAGAGGAACGCATTTTAAATAAAGTTATGTCAAAAATATAATTTCTTATTTTATGTGAAAGTGTTTGAATAGCCAGTCATGGTTACAGAGAAACCATGTTTTGTATCTAGTGGTACAAATTAACATATGTATCATCTACAGAGCTTGAGGTCATAGGCTTCTAACACTTTCTTATTTTCTTATAGATTATGTATTCTTGATAGTAGTGATATATTTTTGTTTGAAATACAATTAAATTTCTGAATTTTGTATTTAATAAAATATTAAAGTTTACAAACAAACTGTTATCAGAAGGAACAGTAATTTTCCCTCAGATATGTATAATGAAAAATAATATTTTCAGAGCCAACTGAGAGGATAATTCTTTCTGTAGACAGTGCTCCCAATTTTTTTTTAATTTTCCTCTAACTCTCCTCATTTCCTACTTCCCACACACCTCCATTTGTAGACAGGTACAAAGGTACTCAGGATTACATGTAGAAGTGTTCAATTAGGACTCCCTGTTTGAATGTACACTGACCCTGCCAATTTACTGTGTTTCAGATAAATATGAGTGCATGAAGCAGCAGAGGCTGCTAAGCATGCTGAAGAATGGACCCTTGTTCCTAAAGTCTTCCTCAGGACAGAGACACAAACAGGACCAGGTGACCTCAATTATTTGTGAATGGAGAATGGGTGTATGAACTGTCTCTTTAAACTCTCCCAAAGACGACCAGTTAATATTACATTATTAAAAATGTAAAGGAAGTTTCATTCTACTAACAATACAAGTGCAGTAAAATACTTTATATGTTATAGTTGCTCCATAAATTTTAGGCTCCGTCTGTTGATCATTTTTTTACCACCAGAATATAGAGAAAACAATGAAGGAACTTCCACTTTGAGCTTATCTGAGCCACACAGAGGAAAAAAGTGGTAAACAGAAATAATAGGAAAGTTTAGAAAAAAATTTATTGTTCTTTCATAATTAAATGTACTATGTATTTTTTAAAGAAATAACCTTAGCTATTTTGAATCTATATCCCTTTCTTAAGGATAATAAAAAACTTTAACATATTTGAACTCCTCACTGAATACCTCACTCCCTGCCTTATCTAACTGTCTTCATTTTTTTGGTTAGGAAATTTAATACTATGTTGTTTATGTAAGACATGGTTTTCTGATGACCCCAGTATTTAATTACATTTGACAGTATTATTTGCTCACCACAAGTTTTGTTCTGTTTTGTTTTATTATTTCTTTAAAAATCTACTCATTTCTCTACATTATTATTGCTAAAATTCATCCCTTAAATATTATTTTTGTGATGATCTGTGAAACATGAACACTTTTATTCTTTGTCTAGAATTGCCTTAATTCCCCTTGTTCTTTGATGTTATTTAGGCTGGGCATAGAATTATAGGTTGCCAGCTTCTGTGCCTCAGCATCATTTTCTGAATATATTGTAGTTAATAAGAAGTGTTTTGCAAACTTAATTTTCATATTTTGAAGATGATAATATACATTATTTATAATTTTTAAACAATGTGTGAAGTTTCTCTATAGTATGTACTTGTATCCAGTGCCATACTATTCTTCTACACAGAATGATCTATTGAAAATGCAATATAGTGAGTTACATTATGATATTGCTTAAAATCCTGCACCACCCCCATATCTACAGGATAAAATTCAAATTTATCAGGAAAGCCGCAATGGTTCATGCCAATCCCTATAGCCTTATCTCTGACCATTGTAGACCTCACACTTTATGTGCCAGACACATAAAAATACTTCTCATTCACTGAACATACTATGCTGTTTTTAGGTTCTGAGTGTCTATTTATTCTGTTCTCTCTACTAAAAGTATCTTCCTTCTCATTCTCAATTTTATTTTTAACTAATAAATTTTCCTTAATATTTAAGCCTTTATTGAAACCTTATCTCTTCCAAGAAGCTTGACCTAACTCCTCCAGTATGAGGTAACTGTGTTTCTTCTGTGCTCCCAAAATACTCCATTTATGTGAATGACTCTCCCAATGGATCTTAAGTTTCTTGGTATCAGGGGCTATGTCTAACACATTTCTAGCCCCTATCATATATACTACTCTTCACTTAGAAGATTCTTAGTATATATTTGCTGAGTATTTAAAATAACTAAGGAAAAGAAGGTAGACAATATAATATGAATTTTACCATAATTCCATGGACCCATATATATTGTATTAACATTCAAACTTCAACTACTATCCTATCTTTATAATTCACTTACTCTAGAATACTCACAAGAATCTAAATATTTGATAAGGTCAATAATTTAAAACTGGGAAAAGAAAACAAAGTTTCCTCCCTCCTCAGTTCTTATAGAGAAAAGCAGTATGTCAACGTACATTGAAATTTATTTCTAGATTAAAAAAACATTTATTGTCTACAAAGAATTTAAAATACCTGGTACTATTGAAAATCTCAAAACCACAACAACGTAAAGAAACTTCTTAGAAGATTTATACATTATTTTTTATTATTTTTTAAATTTCTGGATTTAAGACAAAATACTCTAACTTCACCAGATTCAAAATCTAATTCTCATGCAAGTATGTATGTGACTGAAATTAACTGGTAAGTGATACTTAATTGGTGTAAAAAAATGGCATTGCTAATTTCAAATAAAATAGCCATGTTGAATGTTCACGAGCATTTTTGGCATTGTTTAGATGGGCACCAATGTATTCATGTTTTAAAGATCCAGTAGGCACGGTTTTTACATTTCCATAATTAGGAAAATTAGCATTGATTCTGGTCACTGTAGAACATAAAATCCCTCTTTTTTGTATCTATTGCATTTATTCATTTGTTTATTCACTATTTGGCAAATAATAAGTGCCTACTAGGTCCTAAGTCAATGTCAGTCACTGTAAATACAATAGCAAGCCAAGGAGACAACAAGACTAATCCTGGGGTAGATAGCCTAGACATACAGGTAGATATGTTATTAAAATAGCATATAATGGTCTGAGGAGGAAAGTTAAGGGGTTATAAGAATGATTCTTCAACAAGGGTTTATTACCTGTCTAATATGGGCCTGGAGTTTCTATTTGGGTACATAGGATGCTCTCTTAGGACACTCCACTTATCACTTAAGATCAACCTAGATCTTATCCCGAGATAAATCAAAGTCACATGGAGAAGCCATATGTGAGCACTCTGGTCAATAGTGCCATGTGAGATCCTAGCCAACATCAACAGCCAGCCCTGTGAATAAGCCATCTTAGAAAAACAGCCCAACTGGGACTTCAACTTGCAGTCACAAAAAGTCCCCAAGCGAGAACTTCCCAGCTGAATCTAGTTAACCCAAAAAAGCATGAAAGATCTTAAATAATTATAAGTCATCCTGCTAATTCTTTCCTAAAACATCGGTACATATTTGTTTTACATAGGAAAACAAATCTTAGACTAACGTTTCTGTTGTGGCTATAAAATAGCTATTTGTTAACTCCCACTCATGACACTTACTTCTTAGAGAATCACCTCTCTTATGTTCTAATAAAAATAGTTTCCATTTGGTATCGAGACATTAAATAAACAGATTATTTCTTCCAATCATGAGAAGATTTTGTTCTCTCTAGGAGACAGAAGGGTTTTATATGTCCTATCTCATGCCAATTATATATATATATATATATATATATAATTTTCATTAGCGTTTTGATCATTCAAATATTAACTCACGCCAGTGCAGAAAAAGGAAAAATAATTAACCTTACCATAAATACTATCTTATCAAGATACAAGTATTAAAAATTGGCCAGGCACGGTGGCTCACGCCTGTAAGCCCAGCACTTTGGGAGGCTGAGGCGGGCAGACCACAAGGTCAGGAGATCAAGACCATCCTAGCTAACACTGTGAAACCCCATCTCTACTAAAAATACAAAAAAAAAAAAAAAAAAAAAAAATTAGCCAGGCGTGGTGGCGGGCGCCTGTAGTCCCAGCTACTCGGGAGGCTGAGGCAGGAGAATGCCGTGAACCCAGGAGGTGGAGCTTGCAGTGAGCCAAGATGGCACCACTGCACTCCAGCCTGGGCGACAGAGCAAGACTGCGTCTCAAAAAAAAAAAAAAAAAAAAAAAAAAAACTTGGTATATGTTCCTTTACTTACATATATGCAATACTTTTTTACAAGGTGTTATACTATAGTGTTTTGTAGCCTGCTTTATCCATCTTGAAATATGTCACGAAGTTTTATTATCCCATTTTTTTACCTCTTCCGTAATATCATTTTCTTGCTGTAGAATTGTTGATTCAGCCAATTTATATTCTTAGACATTTAGTTACTTTCAAAGGTCCATATTTGTGATGTCTTGTTCTATACTGGTAAATAATCCTACATTTCTTATAGTATTATATGAAACAACCATTTTCCTACATCTTCACAACAATTTCTGCAGTATTTTAAATTACTAATGTTTGACACCTCTTAATATGATTATTGGCCATTTTAATTTAGAGTTTTCTCCATGTCCTTGGTCATTATTTCCGTAGGAGTGTCTTTATTTGTCTAGATAATTTTTAAAGTTCTAAAAAATGTAGCTTTATATCATAGATGCTTCATTTTTTTTCAGTGTTTCATTTGTTATTTGATTTTGGTTGCTTTTGACATACATAGTTGTTTAATTTAATTCTAAGTAGTCAAACATATTCATCCTTCACTTAGCCTTATTAATATCTTACCTGTAAAGCCAGTTTTAGTTACCTGAATTACAATTATTTTGATGGAACTGATGTTGATATCGAATATTATAAAAGTATTAACCTTATGTACCCAGGGAACAAAGATTTTCCATATTTTGAACAGAATCCCATCCCTTCATATCCAAAAAAATTCAAGTTTTTAATTTATAGTGTTATACAAATCCCCTTTTCAAGCCTTCATTAAAGTCTTGAAAAAATATACACATTCTATTTGTTGCTTGTCCTATTCTCATTGAACACTGGTAAATTATTATTTATTTCTACATTTACTGCTATTATATCCTGTATTAATTCATCCCAAAATATGGATAATAGTCCTTGCCTTCACTTGCCAAATAGTATTTTAAAAGGCTGCTTATTTAAAGAAACATTGGTGAAATAGTACAGGGATATTTATTATTTGATATCATTTACCCCATTGTTTATTGGTTTGTGTTATTTCTCTAGGAAATACTATGAGAGCTGTCTCCCTTCGGAGCTCATGGTTGACACAATATGATTAGAGAATCCTCCCTGAAGAGATAAAAATCTGTGTGCTCCCTCTCTCTTGTTTTCCCTCTTTCTCCTATGTTCAGGGATTGACTCACACTCCCTGCTTTTAAAGGATGCCCAAGATTAGTTTATCTCTGAATCAAATTCTGAGAAGATTTTGCCCGATCCTCAATGAAGACCATTTATGCATAATATTAAAGGCATATTTACACTTTCAGTAAGTATTTTTGGTCACAAGTAGCAGAAACAAAAATTTCAAACTAGGTTTGATTAAAAAAAAGAGTATACTAAAGCTTACGTAACTGTGGGAAAAGCAAAAATCTATGGAACAATTGGACCTAGGAATTAGAACACTGCTAAGATTCTCGCTCTACCTTCTCCTCCTTTCCCTACACAGGCAGATCCCCTTATTTCTCTGCTTTCTAACATGTTGTCTGTGATTCTTTTTACCGTGGAGCAGCCATCTCTACATAGCATCCATAAAGCTACCAGATCCTATGCTTCCCACATCAAACTTTTACCACCAGAGAGGGATGAAAACAGATTTCTAAAGCTCAATTTGAATCACTTCTCTACAGTTTTCAAATGCCCATTTTGTTTCCACTTAGCAACCATATGCTTAGAAATATGAAGTAAACACTTTGATCCCTAAATACACAGCAAATATTACACACACACACACACACACACACACACACACACACACATATTATACTTGAATCAAACAGAGGGAAAAGTCTAAAAAATGCTGGGATTCAAAGCTTCCAACTCTTATTTTCTAGACATATAAGAAACTTCTTCCTTTTTAAAGCTTCTTCAGAACTCTATTCCTGCTCAGCACGACTCTGTTAACTTTTTTGAGCCTAGATTCTCTGCATAGAATGTGCAAAGGGTATCATGGTATTACAGTATAAGAAGAGAGAACATATGCTAGTGGTTAAGATTATAGACTCTGGAGGCAGTCTGTCCTGGTACAAATCTTGGCTCTGTCACTTATGAGCTTTGTGTCTTGGGCAATTATTGAATTTCTCTAGTCTCAGATGCCTCAGCTATAAAATGGAGATAATAACAGTACTTAACATATAGGGTTTTTTTGACTCTTAAATAAACTAAAATATGTAAAGCACTTAGGAAATACCTTACACATTTTAAGCATTTAAAGAAAATAAATGTATTATTTTCAGTTATCAAATCTTACAGGTATCAAAACAATATCAAAATAGTTTTCTGTACAATTTATATATTCCACACAGCAATACTTCAAAGTTGACTGTAATTGTTACTTTGTTTTATTCCATTTGATTTTCCTTTTGAAGCATAAACTTAACATATTTAGTAACAAATCTTTATTCCAGTATATAACTGAAATAGTTTCAGAGCCTGGTAAGCAAAGAATTTCTCATATATTCTTCCTTCACCTCCCACTCCCAACCAAACATAAAAATTTTCATAGGCTCAAAAATTACTTCCTTATGGGAAACCACTTAGCAATAATTTAAATCAGTGGTTTGCAAACCAGCTGTCTTGGGTTTTGATATCTTATGTATCTCTGTATCTGATACCTAAAAATGACAAAAATTTTTAAAAGTAATTAGCCTTATCACCAAATATTAAGAATGTTTTGTATGATCCTGACCTAAACAATATGCTAAGAGCAACATAGGAAGGTACTGTGGGGGAGTATTAGAGATTTTAGACCTTCAACTGGTTTCTATTCTCTAGTAGTATAACTTGTTTAAACTGAAGGGACTTATTATCTGACCACATTTAGCTAGACCAAAGACAATATCATACCTTTTTAACGTCCACAAATAGTGATTTATTGAAGTTACATGTTTCAACCTCTTCTTGGCCTAGATAAGAAGCTGAAAGCCGTGTCCAGCATCCTTCCTATTCTTCAATGAAATTAGCTGATTTCGTGAATTTATAGAATGACTTATTTATCACTATTTAAATTTATTTCCAGAAAAGGGAATCTAATCCCTTATACTTAAGAGGTATTCTAACATGGGAACAATTTTACAATTTATCTATTGGAAATGGTATACAAGCAAGTTCCCACAGTTTTGTTTAGTCCAATGCCTATGTCTCACTCTTGTCAACTTTCTGGTTTGCTCATCCGGAAGCATCTATGAATATGCTGATTTCATGAGGCAAAGTAATACACATTTTCATTCAGGGTCCATCCAGGAAAGAGAAGCAATTTTTGGTCTTTCATAAAGAGATCTTGACACAGGGAATTGGCTACATTTGTGATGGAATAGCTGTAAAGTCCAACAGAGGATGGTGAGGCAATTCAGAGGTTAGCAACAGCCACTACCCACCCCAGGGCTAGAAAAGCAAAAAAAGAAGTGATTATACAACCAGAAGACCTCTCACTAAAGAATCTTACCTAGAACCCAAAGGGCCTGATAAATGTGGTTTCCTATGTTACAGACTAGAGCAGAGGAAAGGAAATGGATCTGGGAATAAGTAGGCAGTCATCACTTACACAGGTAGTGTACACATTGAAAGCTCTCTAGCACTAATCTGTGTGATGCTCAGACTGCTAGCATCAACACAACCCGAAAGCTTTTGAAAAGGTAAATTTATATGGCGCACCTAAACATAGAAGTGCAGAATATCTAAGGGTTGTCCCAGGCATTTGCGTTTTAGCATTTACATCAAATTATCAGACTAGAGTTTGGTCAAATAAACTTCATTGTATCCTCGCTTTTACCTGACACTGTACCATTCTGGGATGATAATGTTCAGATAGATAGTTTGGCATTTGCGAGAATCAAAACCGCCTATTAAAAACTTGTGCTAGGTTTATTAACTAGAATAAAACATATTGTTCTGTTTTCACATTTCATCAAGAACACAGTAAAGACACCTACTGATTATAAGTGGGCAGTACCTTAGTTGTCTGTATATTTCCTGAGAAGTCAGTTAAGGGTCGGAGTGAGTCACTGTAGTCAGCTCTGATTGGAAGTGGTACTAATGATTCTAGACAGTTGGCATAACAAAGAATGAGAAATCTGGACCTATCTCTGTACTGATGGCAGCAAAAAAATAAACTGCTTAGCAAACCTCTTTTTTCTTAGCCACAAGATACAATTCTTCCCTGTCACTTTAGAGAGCCAATTTTCTCTTGTCTTCTATCCGCTATGAATAGATTTGAGGAATACAATGTTGTTAGCTGAAATATTCTATTCAGTTTGACACAGTGAATTTGTTCTATTATTTTCTATCTTAACTTGCATTTGTTTACTCTTCCAAATCAGTTTCTTAACTTTCCACAGTCTAGGGAAGCTTTCTGCCTAGTATTTATTTTGCTCATTGAATCGTTTCATTAACTTCAATGCTTTGCACAGCTTTTTTGTTAGTTGCACCCATAATGACTTTGAATAATAGTTTCAGTATTCCAGTGTGCTTTTAAAATTTCTGTGGCTTGTATTGAATTTAATACCAACACAGACAATATAGCTTGGCAATTAGAAATTTCCTCTTTTGGCCAATCAAAATTTGTATAATTATAAAAATTGGAAATATGTCCAGTAGAAAATATTCAATAATAATGCTGTTAATCATCTCAAGTTTTGGTATCTTCATACTTGATTAAACTATTATATTTAGTTTAGGAAACTACAATGAAACTGCAAAGGAAACTATACCTTAAAATTGCTAGTTTATAAAAAAAGTCACATTACAAAAAATGAACAAGAGGGTGTGTTTTTTATAAAGTTATTATAACTTTACTGGTGATCAAACAAATGTTCTTTGCACAAATTTAAAATTCCAAAATAGCATATATATTTTACAGCTGACATGCAAACAAGGTTTTTGATGGGAAAAATAAAGCAAATACATAAATATTCTTACATGCATTCTTAAAATACCTAGTAAAAAACTGAATATATAAACTGGATTAGAAGATCCCCATGTTTAGTTGCTGGTTTTCAAGAAAAGAATGCCTAGTAGGAGGAATATCATTTACGGTAGGAGACCCCCATCCAGAAGATAATTCTTGGAATGGTGTTTACAGATGTCAGCCTGAAGGTCTTAGAAGAGAAAGGAATCACTGTGCGGAGAATCTGATTTGCATGTAACAAGGCATCAGAAGGACTGCACAGGTCAAACTGTGGAAGCAGGGAGAAGAAAAGAGTACAAGCACAGTAACTAGACCTGAGGCCACTGGAATCTAGATAGGTAGCAATCATGTTCAATGACTGATGAAAAAAAATTCAGACTTAGGGTGCTAAACATAATGTGCTGGATTCTCCTTTTAAGAATTTCTTGGTGATAGTATAAGGATGGAAGAAAACAACAACAAAGAAAAACGAGAAAGTGTTGTAGAAACTAAGAAAGGACACATGGCTGAGGTTGTGGTGATGGTTGAAGAAGAAAATAAGACAAAGGGGTGGCTCTGTGGTATTACAAAGCTTGAAATTTCTCTTTAAAATGTGTTATGTGGTTGTTACAGAATACTTTGTTCTGGTAAGAAGTCACACCATTTTAGGAATCAGTTCTGAGACTTCCTTTTGCTAATACTATCTGCATCAAAAATAGTTTGTAAATTTGCAGCTCACTGAGGAAAATGTCTCCAACTGAAAGAGATACAGTGATATTTCGAAATTGGCTAACCCCAGGCCATTTGTTTTGCAAAGATTTCTGTCAATGAAATAAATTTTAGTCTGTACCTTTTATGAACTATTATCCTTTCAGTGCATAATACAATCTGTTTCATATAGAAAAACCTCAATCAATTGTGCTCACTTGAATTAAAGGGTGTGAAAAATTGTTTAATCTCCGGGATCGTCTTCCCATGTGGGAGTTGACATTGACCTTGAGATCTTCAGAGCAGATTTTCCTGTCAATTATCTGAATCTTCTCCCACCTAGCACAGGGCCTGGTGTCCAGTTGTAGCTGGTTCTCAGTGAATTTAAGTTCCATGAATAATTCTCATTGTAGAAATATAGTCATGTAATATTCACATTTCTCATTCTGTCTTCCTCCCTCACCCTTCTATATTTGCTATATAATGGGGTCAAGAAAATGCTAATTGTATAATTATTAACTTACCAAGTCCTCTATGGATAGTACAATAAATATTCCTATACATTGATTTTTTTCAAACGTGAGTTTCTTTGTAACATGCATTCCTGGAAATGTAATTTTATAGATATTGCCAAATTATCTTCCAATGGGGTTCTTCCAGTTTACGTTTTCATAAGGAATGTATGGCCATACTGTGATGTATTAAATTATTGTTTTAATCATTCACATAGGAGAAAATAGCATCCAAATGTGGTTATAGTTTGTGTGTATGTAGTTGTGATAAAGTTGAACACCTTTTCATATTTTAGAAGTTTTTTTAATAAATTGTCTTATTCTTTGCTCATCTTATTTTTTTAATATTAACCTTTTCATCCACAAATATAATAGTTTTATCTAAAGAAAATTATATCTTTGAATAGTGACTTGTAAATATTTTTTCCAATTTGTCTTTTGACTTCTTTACAGTATTTTTGCCACATAATTATTTTGTTTATGCATTAAAATATCTGATATGTTTTAATTTTAGAGCTTCACCATGTTGTATCTTGCCTACAGATTCTTTCTTTTTTTAATTTCAAAATATTTTGGGAAACAGGGGGTTTTGGGTTACATGAATAAGTTCTTTAGTAGTTAAGGTGTAAGATTTTGGTGCACTCGTAACCCAAGGAGTGTACATTGTTCCCATTGTATAGTCTTTTATCCCTCACCCCGCTTCCACCCCTCTGCCTGAGTCCCCAAAGTCCTTATATCATCAAGGAAATGCAAATTAAAACCACAATGAGGTACTACCTTACTCCTGCAAGAATGGCCATAATGGGAGAGTAAAAAGTAATAAATGTTGGCATGGATGTGGTGAAAAGGCAACACTTTACACTTGTGATGGAAGTGTAAACTAGTATAACCACTCTCAAAAACAGTATGGAGATTCCTGAAAAAACTAAAAGTTGAACCACCATTTAACCCAGCAATATTACTACTGGGTATCTACCTGAAGGAAAAAACATTCTTACGCCTTTGTGTTCTCATGGCTTAGCTCCAACTTATAAGTGGGAGTATATGATATTTGATTTTCCAATTCTGAGTCATTTCACTTAGAATAATAATCTTCACCTCCATCATGGTTGCTGCAAATGCCATTATATCATTTTTTTTATGACTGAGTAGTATTCCATGCTGTAGATATACCACATTTTCTTTATCTATTCATTGGTTAATGGGCATTTAGGCTGGTTCCATATTTTTGCAATCACAAATTGTGCTGCTATAAACATGCATGTGCAAGTGCCTTTTTCATATGACTTCTTTTCCTTTAGGTAAATACCCAGTAGTAGGAGATCAAATGGTAGTTCTGATTTTAATTCTTTAAGGAACCTCCATACTGTTTTAAATAGTGGTTGTATTAGTTGACATTCCCACCAACAGTGTAAAAGTGTTCCCTTTTCACCACATCCGTGCCAACAGCTATTATTTTTTATTTTCTCATTATGGTCATTCTTGCAGGAGTAAAGTAGTATATTATTGCGATTTTAACTTACATTTCCCTGCTAATTAGTGATGTTGAGGATTTTTTTGTACGATTTTTGGCCATTTGTATATCTTCTTTTGAGAATTGTCTATTCATGTCCTTTGTCCACTTTTTGATGAAATTATTATTTTTTTCTTGCTGATTTGTTTGAGCTCCTTGTAGATTCTTAATATTAGTCCTTTGTTGGATGCACAGTTTGCAGATATCTACTCCCATTCTGTGGGTTGTCTGCTTACTCTGCTGATTATTTATTTTGCTATGCAGAAGCTTTTTAGTTTAATTAGATTCCATCTATTTATTTCTGTTTTTTTTTTGCTGCATTTGCTTTTGGGTTCTTGGTCATGAAATCTTTGCCTAAGCCAATATCTAGAAGAGTTTTTGCAATGCTATCTTTTAGAATTTTTATGGTTTCAGATCTTAGATTGAAGCCTTTGGTCCATCTTGAGTTGATTTTTGTATAACATGAGAGAAGAGGATACAATTTTGTCCTTCTACATGTGACTTGCACCTGTAGAAGAACAAATAATTATCCCAGCACCATTTGTTGAATAGGGTGTCCTTTCCTGACTTTATGTTTTAGTATGCTTTGTCAAAGATCAGTTGGCTGTAAGTATTTGGCTTTATTTCTGGGTTCTCTACCACATAATAGAGTTGGTCTATGTGCCTATTTTTTATACCATTTATCTACATGCCTATTTTTATACCAGTGTCATGCTGTTTTGGTAACTATAGCCTCGTAGTATAGTTTGAAGTCAGATAATGTGATGCCTCCAGATTTGTTCTTTTTACTTAGCATTGCTTTGACTATGTGGGCTTTTGTTTTTTGTTCCATATAAATTTTAGAAATACTTTTTCTAGTTCTATGAAGAATGATGATGGTACTTTGATGGGAATTGCATTGGATCTGTAGATTGCTTTTGGCAGTATAATCATTTTCACAATATTGATTCTACCCATCCATGAGCATGGGAGATGTTTCCATTTCTTTGTGTCATCAATGATTTCTTTCAGCAGTGTTTTGTAGTTTTCCTTGTAGAGATCTTTCACCTCCTTGGTTAGATATATTCCTAGGTATTTTATTTTACTCTTATAGCTGTCTTAAAAGGGATTGAGTTCTTGATTTGTTTCTTAACTTGGTTATTGTGGGTGTATAGCAGTGCTACTAATTTGTGTACATTGATTTTGTATCCTGAAACTTTACTGAATTCATTTATCAGATCAGGCACCTTTTCGGATGAGATGTTAGGGTTTTTTAGGTATAAGATTATATCATCAGAAAACAGCGGCAGTATGACTTCCTCTTTTTTAAAGAACCAGCTTTTTGTTTCAGATATCTTTGGTATTTTTTGTTTCAATTTCATTTAGTTCTGCCCTGATCTTTGTTATTTCTTTTCTTCTGCTGGGTTTGGGTTTGTTTTTTTATTTCTTGTTTCTATAATTCCTTGAGGTGTGAAGTTAGATTGTCTATTTGTGCTCTTTCAGACTTTGTGATGTAGGTATTTAATGCTGTGAACTTTCCTCTTGGTAGCACTTTTGCTGTATCCCAGGGGTTTTGATAAGTTGGTTCACTGTTATTGTTCAGCTCAAAGACTTTAAATTTCTCTCTTGATTTCATTGTTGACCCAAAGATCATTCGAGAGCAGATTATTCAATTTTCACATATTTCTAAAGTTTCAAGGATTGTTTTTGGAGTTAATTTCTGGTTTTATTCCACTTTGGTCTGAGAGGGCACTTGATATAATTTCTATTTTCTTACATTCATTGAGTTTTTTTGTGACAGATCATATGGTCTATCTTGAAGAATATTCTATGTGCTGACCAAAGAAGGTATATTCTGCATTTGTTGGGTAGAATATTCTGTAAGTATCTGTTAAGTCCATTTGTTCTAGGGTATAGTTTAAATGTATTGTTTCTTTGTTGACTTTATGTCTTGATGACCTGTCTAGTGCCATCAGTGGAGTATTGAAGTCCCACACAATTATTGTGCTGCGTCTATCTCATTCTTGTCTGGTAATAATTGTTTTATAAATTTAGGAGCTCCAGTGTTAGATACATACATATTTAGGATTGTGATATTTTCCTGTTGGACTAATCCTTTTATTGTTATATAATGTTCCACTTTGTCTCTTTTTTTTTCTATTGTTGGTTTAAAGTTTGTTTTGTCTGATATAACTGTAGCTACTCCTGCTAACTCTTGGTTTCCATTTGCATGGAATATCATTTTTGACCCCTTTGCCTTATGTTTATGGAAGTCCTTATGTATTAGGTGAGTCTCTTGAAGATACCAGATACTTGGTCGGTGAGTTTTAATCCATTCTGCCATTCTGTATCAATTAAGTTGAGCATTTAGGGCATTTACTGTCAATATTACTATTGACATGTGAGGTACTGTTCTACTCGTCATGCTAGTTCTTGCCTTAATACCCTTTTAAAAATAATTGTATTATTGTTTTATAGGCCCTGTGAGATTTATTTTTGCACAGGTTCTATTTTGGTGTATTTTGAGATTTTGTTTCAAGAATTAGAGCTCCTTTTAGCATTTCTCATAGTGCTGGTTTGACAGTGGCAAATTCTGTCAGCATTTGTTTGTCTGAAAAAAAAAACTGTATCTTCCCTTTATCTATGTAGCTTAGTTTTGCTGGATACAAAATTCTTAGCTGATAATTATTTTGTTCCACAAGGCTAAATATGAGACCTCAATACCTTCTAGCTTGTAAGATTTCTGCTGAGAAATCTACTGTTAATCTGATACATTTTCCTTTGTAGGCTATCTGATGTTTTTGCCTCACAGCTCTTAAGATTCTTTCCTTTGTCTTGACTTTAGATAACCTGATGACTATGTGCCTAGGTGATGATCTTTTTTTGTGATGAATTTCCCAAGTGTTCTTTGAACTTTTCGTATTTGGATGTCTAGATATCTAGCAAGGTCAAGAAAGTTTCCCACAATTATTCCATCAAATAGGGTTCCCAGACTTTTATTAGATTTCTCTTCTTTCTCAGTAACACCAGTTATTTTTATGTTTGGCTGTTTAACATAATCCCGGATTTCTAGGAGGCTTCATTTTTTTTTTTTTTTCTTCTTCTGTCTGATTGGGTTATTTGAAGCCTTGTCTTCAAGCTCTGAACTTCTTTCTTCTATTTGTTCTAGTCAATTCTTGACACTTTTCACTGCATTTTGTATTTCTGTAAGTGTGTCTTTCATTTCTATGTATGAAATGAAAGTATGATTGTTTTCTCCTTATGATATCTATTTCTCTGGAGAACTTTTCATCCATATCCTATATATTTTTTTTAAATTTCTTTAAGTTGTGTTTCACCTTTCTCTGGTATCTCCTTAAGAAGTTTAATAATCAGCCTTCTGAATTCTTTTTCTGGCAATTCAGAGACTTCTTTTTGGTTTGGATCTATTGCCGGGAGCTGGTGTGAGGTGTTATAGAATACACCTCTTTTGGAGGTGTTATAGAATCCTTTTTTGTCATAATATTAGAATTACTTTTCTGGTTCATTCTCATCTGGGTAGACTATTTCAGTGGAGAGATCTGAAACTCAAGGCCTGCTGTTCAGATGCTCTCATCCCATGGGCTGATTCCTTGATGTGGTGCTCTTCCCCTTTCTTTAGGGATGGGGCATTCTGAGAGCTGAACGGTAGTGATTGTTAGATCTCTTCTGGGTCTAGCCACCCAGTGGGGCTACTAGGCTACAGCCTGCTGTGAGAGAGTGTCTGCAAAGAGTCTTGTGATGTGACCTTTGTTCAAGTCTTCCAGCCATGGATATCAGCACTTGCTCTGGTGGAGGTGACAGGGGAGCGGGGTAGACTCTGTGACAGTCCTTGGTTGTAGGTATGTTTAGCGTGCTGGTTTTCTTGAATGCTGGTTGTGCTAGCAGTGAAGTTGTCACATGGACACACTCAGAACCTCTGGTTAGCCAAGATGTTGCAGCCAGTGGAATTGGGTATTGTCTTCTCCTTCCTGAGATCATGGATATTCTGTCATGAGTTGCTGCAAAGGCCTGCATTGGTGGGCTTCCAGCCAGGAGGTGACACTTTCAAGAGAGCACTAGCTGTGGTAGTAGTGGCGGGGGTTGGGGGGATAACGCCAAGCTTGCCCTAAGTTGGCCAGGGTAAGTATTTTGGTTTCTCAGGTGATAGGTGGGGCCTTAAAGCCCCCAAGAGCTTATATGTTTGTATTCAGCTACCAGGGCAGGTAGAGAAATACCATCAGGTAGGGGCAGGGTTAGGCTGGTCTGGACTCAGACTTTTTGTGGCGGGGTTTGCTGGTTTGCAAAGCCACTGTGAGGGATGTGGGAGGTGGTTCTCAAGCCAATGGGGTTATGTTCAAGAGAGGATCTTGGCTGCCTCTGCTGTGTCATATAGTTCACCAGGGAATGGGAAGATAGCTGGTAGCAAGAGGCCTCACCAAGTTCTCACACAGCTGGGGAGTGTCCTGCTCAGACCTTGCCCCAGGCTGTGAGCTTCCCTGCTGAGAAACCAAACATGGCTTATGGACCTCACCCCTCCCCATCTGGTCACTCCATTAGTGGTGGCTCCTGTGCTCATCTCTGCAGCAGCTTCTGCTCATGTCCTGGACTCTGCTCAGGAAAATTTGTGTCCAGTGGAAACTACTACCAATTTCAGTTGGAAGCTTTCTTTATCCCACAACCTCTCCCCAATTCCACTTGTTGCCTTCCCTGAGGGCCCCTGTGAGATATAGTCAGGAATAGCCTCCCTGGGTTCAAGCTGAAGACTGGGAGTGCCTGCAAGACTCTTCCTGCTGCTTCTTCTACTTTTATGTTTCATGTGACTCCCTAAATTTTTTTCAGTTTTAGGTAAAGTTAAATCCTTCTCCTGTGATCTGGATTTTCAGATATCCCAGTGGTAATGTGGGTTCAGAAGCAGATTTTCCCCCTCTCACACCATGGGAACTCACAGTTTTTGCCTGTTTTGTGGATTTTTCTGTGGCATGTCACTTCTTTCAAAGGATCTGTGAATTTTTTGTTAGTTTTCATGGTACATTCCTGTGGTAGCTGTTGGAGAATATCGTGCTGTGAGTCTCCACATACTGTTCTGTCTGTCCAAGTGGAAGCTGTATGTTAGCCATGTCTCCTATCCACCATCATGTCTCTCTTCCCTGTTTGCCTACAAACACTTTCACGAGAGAAACATTAGATATAAATAAATCCATCAATTCAGAAACTCTACAATTTTGAAAATTATATCAGTAAATGGAGTGTTAAATATGTATCTTTTTGATGAAATAATCATCACAACAGTTAAGAATCATGAATGATACGGTTTGGTTGTGTCCCTACCCAAATTTCATCTTGAATTCCCAGGTGTTGTGGGAGGGACTCAGTGGGAGGTAATTGAATCATGGGGGTGGGTCTTTTCCATGCTGTGATAGTGAATAGGTCTCATGAGATCTGATGGTCTTAAAAATGGGAGTTTTTCAGCACAAGCTTTCTTTTCTTATCTGCCACCATATGAGATATGCCTTTAACCTTCTGCCATGATTATGAGGCCTCCCCAGCCAGTTGGAACTGTAAGTCCATTAAACTTGCTTCTTTTGTAAAATGCCCAGTCTTGGGTATGTCTTTATCAGCAGCATGAAAACAGACCAATACAACGGATAAATATACTCAATTATTTTTCTAGGTCAGCATTTCTCAAAGTTTAATAGAACTCCAGTTGGCCAGTATATAAATAAACACACTATTAAAAAGTCCCCTGTGGTTACATAAATTTAGATTACGCTGAATTATACAGAGATTCAGTTTTTTATTGTATCGCTTTTAAAGTTTTAAATAAGATTATGTAAGCAACTTATATGTATTTGTCTTAGTTTTAGGTTCCACCCACCCTCTCTCTCTCAAAGCAGTCCAAGTCAAGGGTTCCAACTGAAAGTGATTTATTTGCTAAGTGATCCCAGGAAGGAAAAAAAAAAAAGAAAAAGAAAAAGAAAAAAAAAAAACAAGTGGGTAAGTGACACAAAAATTAAAAAAAATTACAGAATATAGTAGTGAGAGAGTTATCACTGGGCAATTTAGGCTCAATCCCACTGTGGATCTCTGTAGATTGGGCAGAATACCAAAAAGTTGTACCACATAGCGATGAGAAACCTGAGGGATTTATTCATCAGCGTCTATCCATCATTAATAGAAAGCTGTTCCCAGTGATGTTAACTGCCTGGCACTTCCATAGAAAACTGCTGGCATGATTAGGAATGATGAATGCTAGGAGGATTTGGAGAGAGCACCAACAGCCTCTAATAGAGCTGCCATTTTTTAAGTAAATTTACCCAAGAGCTTGTGGAGAGAGAAGAAAAGCCTCCACACATGTCCAACTCTCTGTCTACTTTCTTCCCTCTAAGGATGGATTGCTATCGTCTTGGCTAATTTGCAAAATATAAAAAGTGCTACATTTGTGAGTAGACAGCATATTGTGCTTGCAAAAATTGTGTTTTTGTTTATAGTTGTCTTTGGGATTCTCTTTCATCTTTCCTGCAGGTCCAACCCCAGGAACAGCTTAACCATGCTGACCTCTCTCTCTTTTTAAGCATTCTTAAATTAATGATTGCTTCAGGTTCTTACACCAAGCATCTGATTATAGGCGATAAGTTCTAAGATTTAGATATTGGCTTCGAGAAAGCTGAGATGCTTCATATTATGTGCTGATTTGGACAGGGCATAATACCAAGCTATTTAATTTAACAATAATCTATATGTCACTGTGAAGGTGTTCTGTAGATGTAGGTAACAGCTACAACTAGTTAACTTTAAGAAAAGGACATTACACTCAATAATGTGTGTAAGGCTCATTCAGTCAGTTAAAGGCCATAAGGACAAAAACTGAGGCTTCTTGGAGAAGAAGAAATTCTGCCTCAAGATTGAAGCGTTAACTCCTGTCTTCCTGCCATGTATACCCACACAAACACACAGAGTCATTTTTTGCTTAACTCTAAGTATTTGTTCTAAGAAATATGTCTTTAGGTGTTTTCATCATTGTGCATACATCTTACAGTGTACTTACACAAACTTAAATGTTATTGCCTGCTACACACCTAGGCTATGTGGTAGAGACTATTGCTTCTGAGCTACAAACCTGTACAACATGTTGCTGTTCTTTACTAAATATTCTATGCAGTTATAATACAATGGTATTTGTGTATCCAAATCTGTCTAAACTTAAACAAGATGTAGTAAAAATACAATATAAAAGATAAAAAATTGTACATCTGTAAAGGGCCCTTTTCAGGCATGGAACTTTCTGGGTGTCACTGAGAGAGAAGTGAGTAAATGTGAAGACCTAGGACATTACACTTTTTCAATGACCGGTAGTGCAGTAGGTTTTTTTACACAAGTATCACCACAAACATGTAAGTAATGAGTTTTGCTATAACTTTAAATGGCTATGATGTCACTAGACGAAATGAATTTTTCAGCTCCATTATAATCTTATGGGACCACTGCAATATAGGTGGTCTTTCATTGACCAAAATGTCACATATAGCACATGGCTGTGTGTGTGTGCATATATATACATACACATATATATATATGTGTGTGTGTATATATATATGTGTGTGTGTGTGTTTGTGCACAGTTTTTTCTCCTGTTGGTTTTGTTTTTTGGCAGAATCGTGACATATATAAGGAGATAATAGACCCTAACTGATCTTTCGGAGGAAGGAATTTGTTCAGATCCAGTATTACCAGAGCCTTGAAGTTGAGTATCAGGTTACGGGCCCATCTAAAAATGAGACAGCATTTTCTCCCATTATGTTATTGGACCTTTTTTGTGTATCTCACTCAGAAATTTTACAGAAAAAGAAGCAAATGTCTGATGAGATTCAGGTAGTCTTTGGATATTGTATTAGTCCATTTTCACACTGCTGATAAAAACATACCCAAGACTGGGAAGAAAAAGAGGTTTAATGGACTTACAGTTCCACATGGCTGGGGAGGCCTCACCATCATAGTGGAAGGCAAGGAGGAGCAAGTCACATCTTATGTGAATGGTGGCAGGCAAAGAGAGAGAGCTTGTGCAGGGAAATTCCCATTTTTAAAGCCATCAGATCTCAAGGGACTTATTCACTATCATGAGAACAACATGGAAAAACCTGCCCCATGATTCAATTACCTCCCACCAGGTTCCTCCCATGACACGTGGGAATTGTGCGAGTTACAATTCAAGATGAGATTTGGGTGGGGACACAGCCAAACCATATCATTCCACTCCTGGCCCCTCCCAAATCTCATTTCATCCTATTTCAAAACCAGTCATGCCTTCCCACATTCCCCCAAAGTCTTAACTCATTTCAGCATTAACCCTAGAGTTGACAGTCCAAAGACTCATCTCAGACAAATAAGTCCATTCCACTTATGAGCCTGTAAAATCAAAAGCAAGTGAATTACTTCCTAGATACAGTGGGGGTACAGGTATTGGGTAAATACAGCTATTCCAAATGGGAGAAACTGGCCAAACAAAGGGGCTACAGGGTTTCACACAAGTCCAAAATTCAGCAGGGCAGTCAAATCTTAAAGCTCCCAAATGATCTCCTTTGACTCCATGTCTCACATCCAGGTCACGCTGATGCAAGCAGTGGGTTCCCATGGTTGTGGCAGCTCTGCTCCTGTGGCTTTGCAGGATATAATCCCCCCTCCTGCCTCATTTCGTGAGCTGGCACTGAGTATCTGAAGCTTTTTCAGTGCACAGTGAGAGATCTCAGTGGATCTACCATTCTAGGATCTGGAGAATGGTGGCCCTCTTCTCACAGCTTCACTAGCTGGTGCCCCAGTAGGGACTCTGTGTGAGGGCTCCAACCCCACATTACCCTTCTGTGCTGCCCTAGCAGAGATTCTCCATAAGGGCCCCAACCCTGCAGCAAACTTCTGCCTGGATATTCAGGCGTTTCCATACATCTTCTGAAATCTAGGTGGAGGTCCCCAAACCCCAATTCTTGCCTTCTCTGCATTCGCAGGCTCAACACCACATGAAAGCTGCCAAGGTTTGGGAATTGCACCCTCTGAAGCCACAGCCCAAGCTCTACATTGGCCTCTTTCAGCCATGGCTAGAGTGGCTGGGACTCAGGGCACCAACTACCTAGGCTGCACACAGCACAGGGACCTTTGTCCTGGCCCACAAAACCACATTTTCCTCCTAGGTCTCTGGGTCTGTGATGAGAGGGGCTGCCATGAAGACCTCCGACATGCTCTGGAGACATTTTTCCCATTTTCTTGGGGATTAACATTTGTCTACTCATTATTTATGCAAATTTCTGCAGCTGGCTTGGATTTCTCCTCAGAAAATGGGATTTTCTTTTCTATCACACTGTCAGGCTGCAAATTTTCCAAACTTTTATGCTCTACTTCCCTTATAAAACTGAATGTGTTTAATAGCACACAAGTCACCTCTTGAATGCTTTGCTGCTTAGAAATTTCTTCCACCAGATACCTAAATCATCTCTCTCAAGTTCAGAGTTCCACAGATCTCTATGGCAGGGACAAAACACCACCAGTCTCTTAGCTAAAATATAATAAGAGTTGCCTTTGCTCCAGTTTCAAACAATTTCCTCATTTCCATCTGAGGCCTCCTCAGCCTGAATTTTAATGTCCCTATCACTATCAACATTTTGGGCAAAATCATTCAAGTCTCTAGGAAGATCCAAATTTTGTCACATTTTCCTGTCTTCTGAGCCCTCCAACTTTCCCAACCACTTCCTGTTACCCAGTTCCAAAGTCACTTCCACTTTTTTGGGTATCTTTTCAGCAGCACCCCACTCTACTAGTACCAATTTACTGTATTAGTCTATTTTCATGCTGCTAATAAAGATGTACCCAAGACTGGGAAGGAAAAGAGTTTTAGTGAACTTAAGTCACTGGGATTTTCAGACTGTAGGTTGCCACATCATAATCTATTGTGTTCTGACCTTTACATTTGTGAAACCAACACACTGAGACTCACTGAGACTCATGGTCTGAAGGCATAATATAGGCGTAAATAGCCAAACAATCATTAAATGTAGGTAACCCATATGATAATGAATTAACCCATATGATATCCAATGTTCCTATTTGTAATATACCTGAAATACATGTTACTAGGTTGGTGCAGTTACTTTTACACCTTGTGGCTGGGGAGGTCTCACAATCATGGCGGAAGGTAGAAGGAGCAAGTCACATACTACATGGATGGGAGCAGACAAAGAGAGAGAGCTTGTGCATGGAAACTCCCATTTTTAAAACTATCAGATTTCATGAGACTTATTCACTATCACGAGGACAGCACGGGAAAGATCCACCCCTGTGATTCAATTACCTCCCACTGAGTTTCTCCCACAACACGTGGGAATTGTGGCAGTTACAATTCAAAATGAGATTTGAGTGGGGACACAGCCAAATCCTATCAGACATCAAGTCAAATACCATATAATATTACCAAAACACATTTTTACTCGTAGTTGACTCATGATTCTTAGAATAGTTTGAGAAAGTTTGTCTTTTATATATGACACTCTCTTTAATTCTACCACTTCAGCAATAGCAACAAATCAACCAGTATTTCTGTCTCAGCTTTCTAGAACACATTTACTCCAATTAACTCCTTTGAGCATAAACAGAGTTTATATTAAATTAGTGCAAAAGTAATTGTGGTTTTTGCCATTACTTTTAATGGTGAAAACCACAATTAGTTTTGCACCAACCTGTATTTCAGGTATATTACAAATAGGAAAACGAGTATCAGTTGGGTTAATTCATTATCATATGGGTTACCTACATTTAATGATTATTTGGCTATTTATGCCTATATTATGCCTTCAGACCATGAGTCCCAGTTTGTTGTTTTCACAAATGCAAAAGTCAGAACACAATAGATTATAATGTGGCAACCCACAGTCAGAAAATCCCAGTGACTTAACAAGAATTAATTCTTCACTTGTCTTTTGTGGGCCTGAGATTCTTTCTAGGAACACCATCCTCCACATGGCTCCTCAGAATTCTAGGCTGATGGAGGATCCATAGCCTGCTGCTGCACTATCTACAATATGTGATGTCTGCAGCAAGGCAACAGGAAAAAAAATATTGCAGGGTCTCAAGCCATCAACTACGTGCTTTGTTAAGGAAATGATGTGTATTACTTCTGCTCAAAATACATTTGCTGGAGAAGTTACATTTCTACGTATATTTTTTAAAGAGTTTGGAAATGTAATCTCAACCTTTACTTAGAATAAAAGAAGAACTGGATGAGCAAAAATATTAGAAGTCTCTATCTCAAGCTATAAGACTTTAAATTAAAGCTCCACGCAGAATTCACAATATACACAGAGCCCAGGAATTATTTCACATTGCCTAAATTACAAAGTTTGAGTTACTAAATTCTTTGTGTTTTGTATTATTGCAACTATAACTTTGCACTGATGAATATAGTATTCTCTGTATCTGAAAGGTATGATATGCAACAATTTTTGGAGTGATGGTGGGCAATATAAGGAAAACCACAAAAAAGCAACAACAAAACATACACATATCATTGACATAAAATTTTCTGTATATTATTTTAATATCTAATGATAAAAACCATTTACTTTAAGACATCTGTAAATGTTAGGAAAATAAACAAAACTCTAACCTTTGCCATTTATGCACAATACACAGTATTAAAGAATGTGTTAACATATCTATGCAATGTCTGTTCATTGTAATTCTACAGGGCCTTTTCTTTTCCCAAGGTAGTTTCCTCCAGAGAGAAGACCTTGCAGTTGCTGCATTTGTTCCTGCTGAATGAGAAGGTCATTATATTCATAGTAACAGATGTTGCACCTGATGGTTCATCTTTTACATTTAGGAAACTTTTACCCCAAAACAGGCAGTTTTATGAAACATCAATAATTTTACAAAATAAATGTTCATCCCATAAACTCTTTTCTTAAAAAAAACATAAACATGCTTTTATTCCACAAATCTAATGTGATTATTATTATAAGTTGGCCATAATTTCAAAACTTTAAAATTTCACTACCTGAAAATGAATGAGCATTTTCTTCAAATACTCATTACTTACTTCAAATCTGGAATTATTTGCATGTAGCTTTTTTTCTTTTAATTAAGTGTAACTTGATCTTGAATTCTAATAGTAGTTAAACTGATGGTTAACCATATTTTTATATTTGGTTGTTATGTTCCTGAGTGTGACAGGTGCTCAAACTTTCCCACATCATTATAATCAGGGAATAAATCTTACTTTCACTAAACCTTCAAAAAGAGAGGAAAGCTGAAATACATTGATCAAAATTAATCTTGTCACATCAAATTGTATTAGCTATCTGAAATCTTTGATGAACTTTTAGAGAAAGTCAAAATGAAAATAACTCAGAGCCTGAAGACCACTCTATGTACAATTTACATTCACTATACCTCTTTCAGCAAATATTTACTGGGCATCCACCATGTGCCTTGTACCTTATCCTATGCTCAGTTCTGGATATAAAATGGTGTTGAAGATCAACTTCAATGGAAAGCACAGTCTGAAATGGAGTTAGCCTTCTGAGAGGCAAAGGGGCTTGAACTTATTATGCACTGGCCAGTCATTGGATGCAGCAGCCCCTAAAAAGAAGGCATGACTTTGAGGAAGGTAGCCAGCCAAACTCTAGAAGCTAGGGATATATGTGCTTCAGTCCTAAAGCTGAGAACTGATCAACACAGAGTCTATGCAATCCCTTCTATCAGAGAATGTAAGCATAATTATATAATATATATTACACACAAGCTTCCTTGTGGTCCTGTTATTGATTTTTAATTCCTTTTAATGAAGTAACTGGTAAAATTCCTGAAAGATAAGTCTTAGATCTGGTCTGATTTGATTCACCTTCTCATGTTTATTCCATTGTTAGGTAAGTATGAGTAATATCTTCACATATTAATTCTGAAAAAATATTAATTCAGCTATGGCCTTAACACATTTTCTTCAATAGAAAAATAATGTGCTACTATATTTATTGCATCTTATTGGGGTACAGGAAAATTTATGTGCATAATAGAGTATTCATAAATTTTTTGAAATGGGGAGTAAGTAATATTATGATGTTCCATTTAGAAGCATGTTAATAAAAATGATTTAAATATAGTGTCATAAAGAATGGTATTACACAAAGTTATCTGAAGCAGGCACTTGCTATTAATTTAAGGAGAATCATGTGGATATTCCTACATCAGTTACTACATGTAATTTTAAATGACCATTTAACCTTTTTATGGATTCAACTACTGTTGGTCTAGAATGAGATTAAGGGTTGTTCAAATATGATCTAAACAGAGATGTTTAAAACTATTTGTAACTGCATGTGATCCTGCAGTTATCTGACAAAAAGTCACCCTTCAGGGGCATTGACCTCCAGGATATGTTTTGCATGCTCAAAGGAACAAGAGATAATAGAGGTTTTAATGCAGCTATTCGGAAACTAACAGAGCATTTTAGACCTCAGAAAAAATTGTTCCCTCTGAGAGACATATGCCCATGGAGATGAATGAAGAGCATGGTTAGCCTGTTGAGTCCTTGGTTAACTGCCTGACTTGCTAGTCTCATCACATGATTTAAGGCATAAAAATTAGACCCTGCTATAGAGTTGAATATATACCGGGTTCATTTTCCGGGGCTAGCCCACAAGGAGATTAGCAGCCTAGGATTTTATTTCATTGGGGGTATGTAAGTTATTAGACCATGAAGGTAGTATACTAGCAAGATAGATGTCCTCCTTTGTATGTCAAGCAAATCTAGAAGCAAGAAAGCCAAAAGGCTTAGAAAAATTTGATCAGCAATGTGCAGATATTGAAGAACATTTTCTCAAACCTCTGCTATGATAACTCTGGCAGTGTGTTCAAGAGTACTTGGCACTCAGAAAAGCAAAGTCACTCTTGCATCTCCAATATCTATTGACATCAGAACATATTCACGTTATGCACCAAATATTTAATATAAATAAAATGAGTAAATGCCATTGAACTGGAGTCACTTTCACAAAGTCTGATTTGAAGCTGAATTTAGAACATTCCTCTACAGCATAAAATACTTATGGTTCTAAACAGTGACAGAAAACAAAACATTTTGAATAATATTTCATGTGTGCTTCAAAGAAACTTCAAATAAATTAGCTTATAATATGTAAAGCACACCAAAATGAACTAGATTAGTTGTATCTAGAGATGGAGGAGCCCTATATAAATGAAACAAATATAACTTTCATAGCAAAATCTACCACAAATAGATAACACCTGTTGAGCAACTATAAGTTAGAGAAAGTTATTGGAGAGCTCAACTGTTTTGCTATTAATTCTGTAAAAAAAGTATTTTTCACTAAGTTATACATTTTAAGACTATGCCATTTTTACTTATCTGGATGCTGTGTGCCTGGCTTTTTCTTTTGGGCTTTTGGCTAATTGTATCAAGAGAAAACAGCTGTGATCACCCAAGATGAGTGTAGAAAAACAGGCAAAGCATTTCCAAAGATTTAGGGAAGAAAAGAGAGCATGCTATAGCAGCAGCATGAGTGAAGCCAGCGCAATGTTTCCATACATCAGCAAATAGACTGAGAGTCTCTGACTTTAACCTGTTTCATTCTGAAGGCAGCTCTGAGAGCACTGTCCACTGGTTATACTCATATCTCTTTCTAATGAGCATCCTCAGAAAAGTAGGTATATAACTGCACCTAATCACTGAGAGTAATAATTGTACCTATAAAAAGGACTCTTTGTGCCATCTGGATATCACGTACATATATAAATATTTTCATAAAAATTAACTTGCCTGTAATCCCAGCACATTGGGAGGCTGAGGTGGGCAGATCACGAGGTCAGGAGTTCAAGACCAGCCTGGCCAATATGGTGAAACCCTGTCTCTACTAAACATACAAAAAATAGCGGCATGTGGTGGTGCGTACCTGTAGTCCCAGTTGCTTGGGAGGCTGAGGCAGAAGAATCACTTGAACCTGGGAGGCAGAGATTGCAGTGAGCCGAGATTGTGCCATTGCACTCCAGCCTGGGTGACAAGGCAAGACTAAATAAATAAATATATAAAAAATAAAATAACTTTAGTAGTCTGTCCAGTGAGTAGGTTCAAACAACACATTACAAAAAGAGTAGGGTACTGGCATAAAAACAGACATAGAACAGTGGAATAGAATAGAAAGCCTGTTAATAAACCCAAGGATATATGGTCAGCTAATTTTTCACAAGGTCACCAAGACGCAATAAAGAAATAATAGTCTTTTCAGTAGATGGTATTGGGAAAACTGGATATTCACATGTAAAAGAAAAAATTTAGTTATTACCTTACACTATACACAAAAATCTACTCAAAATAGATTAAAGACTTAAACACAATAACTAAAATCATAAAACTCATAGAAGAAGATACAGGGAAAAAGCTCCCTGATATTGATCTTGCCAATGATATTTTGGACATTACATCAGAAGTTCAGGAAACAAAAGCAAAAATAAACAAATGGGTCTATATATAACTAAGGAATCAGCAGCAAAGGAAGCCATCAACAAAATGAAAAGCTGGAAGATCAGGAGAAAATATTTGTAAACTATATATCTCATAAAAAGTTAATACTCAAAATATATAAGAAGAGAGTACATGCTTGATATGGTTTGGCTGTGTCCCCACCCAAATCTCACCTTGAATTTTAGTTCCCATAATCCACATGTGTCAAGGGAGGGAAGAAGTGGAGGTAATTGAATCATAGGGGTGGTTTTCCCCATCCTGTTCTTGTGATAGTGAGTTAGTTCTCATGAGATCTGATGGTTTTATAAGGGGCTCCCCCCTTTGCTGGGCACTCATTCATTCTCCTTCCTGGTACCCTCTGAAGAAGGATGTGTTTGCTTTCCTTCCACCATGATTATGAGTTTCCTGAGGCCTCCCCAGTCATGTGGAACTGTGAGTCAATTAAACCTCTTTCCCTTATAAATTACTCAGTCTCAGGTATTTATTAGCAGTTGGAGAACAGACTAATACAACATGCAATAAAAAAATTAAAAATTAGCAAAGTTCTTAATGGACAGCTTTTCAAAAAAGACATACAAATGGCCAACAGGTATACAAAAATGTGTTCAACCTTACTAATCGTTAGGGAAACACAAATAAAAAGGACAATGAAATATCACATCAAACCTATTAGGACTGCTATTATAAAAACTACAAGTGTGGAGGAAAGGAAACCCTTCTACACTGTTGGTAAAAATATAAGTTGCTAAAGCCATTATAGAAAATAGTATGGAGAATCCTCAAAAAAAATAAAATTGTTTTTAATAATTATAAATATAATTATAATTATATAAACCAGCAATCTTTTTCCAGGTGTATACCCAATGGAAATAAAGTCAGCACTTCATAGAGTTAGCTGTATTCCCATGTCTGTTGCAGCATTTTTCATGGTAGTCAAGATAAACAACCTAAGCATATATTGTTGGATAAATGGATAAAAAAACTGAGATATATATAAAAACTGACTCAAATGTTAACCTCCTTTGGCAACACTCACATAGGCACACCCAGGAACACTACTTTTTATTCTTCAATCCAATCAAGTTGACACGTAATATCAACCATCACACAGCTCAATCTTGGATTAAAATCAGAAAGTTTTTGAGCTCATGAGATGATAGAGTTTATTAGCAGTTTAAACAAGTCTGTGAAACTAATATTTGCAATTGACTTATTTACTATAAATTCCGCCTCCTAACAATGCCCTTTTGGAGAAAAAATACATGAATAATAAGGATTACCTATTATAATTTGATTTAGATTTCCATTTGTCCCATATGTTAAGCAGGTGGACAAATAAGGTTGAACATATTTTGTCTTGTTTTTTTCATTATGTGGAAAATAGCAGTCATTATTTTTTTCTTAAATAACATTTTAGAATATACTAAAATTCTGAGTCTCATGAAATAATTTCCCTTGGATCATTATTGACATAATGTAGAATATATAAGACAAATTATTGCCTAAAATATAAACTTTGTACATAGATGGTTTTTTAAGTTTGTAAATTATTGGATGATAACTAATTGGTTATCTAGCATAGGCTCATGCCCTTGTTTTATTCTGTAACATATTTATTAATTCTGTTTTCAATGCTTATTTGATCTACTATATGATCTAGCAACAAAGAACTAGATAATATATGGATAGTGAGACAATTGGGATCTTGACGAAATGATAGTAAAAAATATATATTTGTACTTCCCTTAAGATGAAATATTATCCAAAGTAAAATGCAGTGTTTTCTTCTCTTTAAAAAAGCATTTTATATGTGTGTTATACATTTATAACTGGCATAAACTATAATTGTTATGTGTGTATAACTGTTACATATGCATAATATACAATGGTTATTATGTATAACTCTAAAAACTGGCATAAAATTTTGTATATGTGTGTTATATAGGTGAATATATAACACATATTAGTAAATGTTTTAAACTAAATAAACTTTTAGTTTAAGATTTTGCTATTTTCCAATAATATGACAGCATCATTGAATATTTAAAAATAATAGAGAAATGGATGAAACTAATGGTCTATAGTATAGTTTGAAGTCAGGTAATGTGATGTTCCAGATTTGTTCTTTTTGCTTAGTCTTGCTTTGGCTATGTGGGCTCTTTTTCTTTTCATTTGAATTTTAGGATTTTTTTTGAGTGCTGTGAAAAATGATGGTGGTATTTTGATGGGAATTGCGTTGAATCTGTAGATTTCTCTGGGCAGTATGGTCATTTTCACAATACTGATTCTTCTCATCCATGAGCATGGAATGTGTTTCCACTTGTTTGTGTCATCTGTGATTTCTTTCAGCAGTGTTTTGTAGTTTTCCTTGTAGAGATATTTACCCTCCTTGGCTAAGTATATTCCTAAGGTTTTGTTGTTATTGTTGTTTATTTGTTTGTTGGCTTTTTCAGCTGTTGTAAAAGGAAATGAGTTCTTGATTTGATTCTCAGTTTGGTATTTGTTATATAGTAGTGCTACTGATTTCTGTACATTGATTTTATATCCTGAAACTTCACTGAATTCATTTATCAGATCTAAGAGCTTTTTGGATGAGACTTTAGAGTTTTCTAGATATATGATCATATCACCAGTGAACAGTAACAGTTTGACTTCCTTTTTCCCCTATTTGGATGCCCTTTATTTATTTGTCTTTTCTGATTGCTCTGGCTAAGACTTCCAGGTCTGTTTGAACAGAAGTGATGAAAGTGAGCATCCTTCTCTTATTCCAGTTCTCAGGGGGAATTCTTTCAACTTTTTCCTATTCCAAATGATGTTGGCTGGGAGTTTGTCATGTATGGCTTTTATTACTTTGAGTTAAGTCTATTCTATGCCTATGTTGTTCAGGGTTTTTATCATAATGCGATGCTGAATTTTTTCAAATGCTTTTGTGGCATCAATTGAGGTGATCATATGAAAACCCATATTTTATTTAGTATTTTTGTGTGCAATAATTCCAAGGTTTGTAAAATAAATATTTTATACATATTTTGAAATATTAAATAATATTTTTGTGCATTGTTCATTGAGTACAATCTTTTATTTCATTAATGTATATAGAATGCTTCGAAAAAGACAAATGCATTAGTGAAGGAAATTTAACATCATGAAATTTAGTCTAATATTCTAAAACACAAGTTCTCATGTAGAAATATTAATCAATTTACTTTCATTTTAAACTAAATAAGAGATGCCTACAGTTAAAGAGAAATCGCCCCTTCTACCAGATGTGCATGTTATAGTTGGCAATTTTCTAGGCTGATATCAACATTCCACAGACTTACTTTTTATTTAAAAAATGTACTCAATGCCTCTGGGTGTATCTACAAAGCAGCAAACAAAAAAAATGTTTATTTTTAGTACAGAAATATTAGCAAATTTTAGTTTATTTGCATATTTGACTAAAAATAAGTCATCTTAAACTGTCAAAAGAAGAGAAAGTATCTCCTTTCATACTAAAGGACAGAGTGAAAAAGTTTAACTCTGGAGTTTGCCAGGAAATTATTTGGCATTTAATGAACATAAAGTGAATGAATGAAGAAATGAATGAGCAAAAAATATAAATAGGTGGCAATACATACCTAATACAGAAAGTTGCTTGTTATAAACATAGCAAAGCTCCACACTAATAGAAAATAATCTGACTAAATTTTGATTTGGCCTGATGACTATTTTCTCTCAAACTGTAAAAGAAACAAGAAGAGGAATTAACATTCTCTGATGTTAATTATATTTGACAGAAAGAAACCATTTACGGAGATGAAGCAATATGGACTTTAAAGAAATTTCCCAAGAAGTTTTGGAAAGAAGAGGTTGCTAGAATGTAAGGGAAAAACAATTATGGATAAAGGAAGAGAGAAGTACTTTGGCAGAATTTATAAACAAACTCTGCCAAAGAAAGGTGAAACTCTAAGAAAGTATACTTTCTATAAGACCATAATGAAGAAGTAGAGAGACACATACAGAGTATGATGTGATTGACCAGGAAACTCTTATGAGTAAAAAGTACTGTCAGTTATAACTCTTTTCATTATTTTAACAGACTGATTGAGGTATAATTGACTAATAAAATTGTATACTTCAAACATATACATGATGATTCAATACATGTATGAACTGTGGAAATATAGAATTCAGAAAATTTCAAGTATACAGTACAGTATTATTAACCATAGTCACCATGCTATACACAGATCCCCTTCTTGCATTTCAGTCTTTCACATTCCATATTCAACTCTGTTTCTATAAGTGACTTTTTTAGATTCCACATGTAAATGAAATCATGTAGTATTTTTCTTTCTTTGCTTGACTTATTTCACCTAGCATAATACCTTTCAAATTTCAACCATGTTGTCACAAGTAGTAGGATTTTCTTCCTTTTGTATGGAAAAAAGGAGATCCTTTTGCACTGTTGGTGGGAATGTAAAGTGGTACAGCCATTATGGAAAACAGTATGGAGGTTCTTCAAAATATTAAAAATAGAACTACCATACAGCCTAAAAATCTCACTTCTGAGAGTGCAAAGAAAAGAAAATCAACATCTCAAAGAAATATCTGCATTCCCATGTTCATTTCTGTACTATTAACAACAGCCAAGACACAGTTAATGATTCCTATGCCTCCTCATATCCCCAGAACCTAATATGGCCTGAATAATGTAGGCACTTAATAATGTGTATAAAGGGGAAATCAGGATTAAGACAATGATCCTCATGATTAATCATTATTGACCTGTCTCTCAGGGGTCCTGACTGATTTTTTGTTTTTTTTTTTTTGAGATGGAGTTTCACTCTTGTTGCCCAGGCTGTAGTCCAATGGCACCATCTCAGCTCACTGGAACCTCCGCCTCTCGGGTTCAAGCAATTCTCCTGTCTCAGCCTCCTGAGTAGCTGGGATTACAGGTGCCCACCATTATGCCCGGCCAATTTTTGGTATTTTTAGTAGAGATGGGGTTTCACCATGTTGGCCAGGCTGGTCTTGAACTTCTGACCTCAGATGATCCGCCCACCTCGGCTTCCCAAAGTGCTGGGATTACAGGCATGAGCCACTGCACCCGGCCATGTCCTGACTGATTCTTTACTTGAACTTTGACATTCTTTGACCATTTTGCAATTCAATGGTAAATGTACTAGGAGGGAAGATAGAAAAAGAAAATCCTGTGAGTCTTAAACCATGCAATGTGACAAATGATAAGCACTTATCTAACATGTAAATTAATAAAGGAACTGAGGATCAACTAAATATTAAAATTTATAATAGCAAACACTTTAATTTATACAATGCATGCAATTTCTGTTTCTCACCATCATACAATGGTAAGATTTGTGTTAATTTGATCATGAAAGAAGAAAAATAACAGAGTCAAATCAAAAAAGCACTTGCTGAACAAAAAGCCACCCAAATTTATACCTAGTAACTAATGATCAAACTATTTTGTATTAAAAAAATCTATTTTTTGTGTGTATATAGTATAATATTATTTGCTTCTATTAGGGGCAAATGAGAACGCATGGTACAACATGTAAATTAATGAGAATTGTTCATGATGAGCATTATGTAGGAAACAATAAATAATATATAATTAATAATAACATTCTATAAAGAGTTTTTTTATAAAGGAAAAACTGAATCCTTGTAACTGCATGTCGGGGAACACTGAAAATATAAGTGCTTCCTGCCTCTGCAGATATTATTATACTATTGTAAAGCTAAGACTCACCTAGATGAAAGTAGAAAGAACTATGAAAGTGTAATAAAAAATAGAACAGGCTAAACATATGTGTAAGTACTGAAATATGTAAAAGAGATACTTGTCTGGGTGCATATAAGGAGGAACTAATGCATTGTAAAAGTATTTTAGAAATTGATGGTCAATTTCATGGTGAGTAGTGAAACATCAAAATATCTAAAATGTGGATTGATATTTCAGACAGAATTTCATGTGTCAAATGAAACCATAATTGTAGCACATCTGCTTCACTGATAAAATCTCACTCTTAAAGGGCTAAGGTTTTTCAGTCATGGATGAACATTTATAAGAAAGTAAGTGACTTTCACTGACTAAAGTCATACAGAGTAATTTACAGTTAAATGTTTATTTACCGATTTTTTAATAGGGAGTATTTCTTCTAATGAGCAGAATTATATATATTCTCCATCCAGGATACTGTTTTTGAGATAATTACATGGAACATTAAATTATCCAATAAAAAGGTTTCCTTGGTGAATAAAGAATGGAAAAAAAAGAAAGGAATAAAGGAAGGAAGGAGGGAGGGAGGGAGGAAGGAAGGAAAAAAAGAAAGGAAGGAAAGAAGGAAGGAGGGAGGGAAGGAAGGAAGCAAGGGACAGAAAAGGTAGAAATAAAACCAAAAAATTACTCAAATGGCATTCTCTACAACCTTGAAAACTACTTGGATTATCTGTACCTTAAACTAAAGAACAATCCTTTAGAGTCTGGATTACCCACAGTCCAGATTAATTTCACTCTTACATTCTGCACTTTGTCAACTTTTCTTTCACTCATTCCCACTTTGGTATTCTAACTACCTGCTGTTTTAGTTTCCTATTACCATTGTAAGAAATAATCATAAATGTTGTGGTGTAAAATAATACAAATTAATTATTTTATGATTCTGAAGGGTGGAAGTCCAAGATGTGTTTTGGTGGGCTAAAATCAAAGTGTTTGCAGGGCTGCATTTCTTTCTGTAGGCTCTAGAGGAGAATGCTTCTCTTTCCCTTTTCTAATTTCTAGAGGCTGCACACATTTCTTGGCTCATGGCCCCATTCCTCCATCTTCAAAATCAGCAATAGCATATCAAATCCTTCTCATATTTAGCTCCTTTTTTCCCTCTCTCTTCCACTTTTGAGGACCCTTGTGATTATATGGGGCCCACCAGGATGATCCAGAATAATCTCCTTATTTTAAGGTATATTGATTAGCAATCTTAATCCCATCTGGAATCTTAATTCCCCTTTTTGGTGTGATGTAACATATTCGTAGGTTCCAGGGATTAGTACATTGACATCTTTCAGGATGGGGTCAGTTATTGCTGACCCCACTTACCTTCTATGCTATGTTCTATTTTCTTAATATGGCTCATCAAGTTTCAGCCTAGAAGCTCTTTCTATTGGTTTAAGAGAAATTTTATTTCTTAAATTATGTGACATAGTCAATTCTTCATATAGCTGTTTCTTTTCAACTGTAAGAATCCATAGGAATAATTCACTAAATATTTAATATTGTAACAATAATTATAAGAATCAATCCCTAATGTGAAATAATTTCTGAGCACATAGGCAAATATATCTTTATAATACACAAATAAACCATGCTGCATAATATTAATTCCTACTATTATAGAATTTAAATGATTTTTAAGGCTAGCTGTAAATAAAAATTGTCAAGATTTATTTAGAAATGCAGATGTTCTGACCCTGTCCCAGAGTTACTAAATCAGGATGTCTGAAGATGAACCTCCGATAATTTGTAAAGTGATCAAAATGCAATTTTAATATGTAGCTAGGTCTAAGAATCCTGCATTATTTTATGTAAATATATTGTTAAATTAGATTCTCTATCTTCCACATACTTGATTGATATTTTGCTAAAGGTTACTGAGTTTAGAGATTTCTCTTTCTCATACTATGTTGGTTCTACACATTCCCAGATATGTTGTCTGATATTTATATTCAGTGATAAATGTTTTGGTGAATAGCTCCAGTACTCCTATCTCAAATGTCAAAAAATATTTAAAAATATAATGAATCAAATCCAACAGAAAAAATAAGTCTTAAAATTCCACAAAAGCCCTACAATTTGCTATAGTTTAAGATTGGCATAGATTGACAGTAAAATACAGGATCAGAATTGTTTTCATTATGTGTTTGCTGAATGGCTTTCCATTACCATATGGCAGGTTCTGAATTAGCATTTGGGATAAATATCATAAATGGTCAATGTAAAAAGAACTTAATGTTCTCGTGATCCAAATTAAACCTTCTGTTGGACAAAGCTGAGGAACACTTTTCTTTAGGCTGAGTTTCTAAAATATGTGTGGTTGTATGATATCAAACCTATATTTTACACACAGTGAGCTTCAACGCTGGGTTATTTCAAATGTGCCTTCATTTACAATTATAAAATAAATGGCTTTAGAGCACAGTTTATTTTAAAAAGTTCACTCAAATAATAATATTTTAATTCAGAAATAATTTCGAGTTACTAACAACTATTTTCCTAAAATAATTTCAATAATCGTAATTGTTAATGTTGTATGACACAATGGGAACAAAGCAGCAATATTGATTATATTTCCCACACATTCATATATTAAGTAACTTTTAACAGAGTGCCTACATTTTATTCTTTAGTTTGTCAAAGAAAAGTTTATGAATTTTTACTGTGCTAACAAAAAAATTTAATAAGTTACAAGACCTTTCTGAAGGCATAGTTGCATTTGACAATGCCTACAGAGAATAAGAAAGAAGCCACTACTATTTTTTTATGAAAGGTCAAATGTTATGTTTTTTCCAATGACTATCACAAAGAAAATTTAAAAAATTGAGAGACCTCAAGGGATGGAATAGCAAATAAAAGAGGAGATGTACGAACAGTTAGGGTGTTAATTATGGAATACTGCAAAATCCAAAGAGATTATTCAGAAATATGGGGCACTATAAGGATTTACGTTTAAAAGCAAGTAATAATTTTGATTGACTTAATATTTGCTGGACAAATGGAGCATTTTGTGTTTCAGAGCTTGTTCTTGATAATAAGTTCATATAGCTTTCAGAAATATAAAAGAAAAATTTACATTTATAGACAGATTAAGTGGGAATAATTTATGTTATAATAAACTACTGCAAGATTTTATAAAGAGACACTCCACCAGTCTGGTTAAGTGTTTATGAATACATAAATATCTACTTGAATCAGAGTCTGAGTCTGTGAAGCAGAAGAGCCTAAACCTGAAGTATTTGAAATCCCTACTTAAATGATTTGAAAGTGGAGACACCATTTAAAGTATTATAATGTAATTAATTGGGAAACATATAAGTCCTACCCACTGGAAAAAATGTGATATCTTTGGATGTGAACTTTGATTATCTTATGAATCTTCCTGATGATGTTGATATTGTTCATTATAAAAATAAGCAAGGGGAATAAAGCACTTAAAACATTACTGTTATACAAAAATAATTTTCTCTTGTCTCTAAAGCTATGTACAATTCACCTTGTATATCTGTAGAGATACTCAAATAAATTGATAAAATTTGGAGAGTAATATAAATAGAGGCTTATATTTGACTTTAAAATGCATACAGAGAAATAAAACTGCTTCATATAAGTAAAAGATTAATTTAGGTTGATTAACATATTTAATTTAGAATTACTTCCTTAGTATTAAAAATTAATGTTTAACTTTAAAAATAGACTTTAGAGGTAATTTGTGCTCTGAATGATTGATTTGTGGAGGCTAAATAAACCTGGAAAGAAATACTGATCTGAGAGTTAAAAATACAAAAACATGGCCGGGAGCGGCGGCTCACCACTGTAATCCCAGCATTTTGGGAGGCTGCGAGGGGTGGATCACGAGGTCAGGAGATCGAGATCATCCTGGCCAACATGGTGAACCCTGTCTCTACTAAAATACAAAAAATTACTCAGGTGTGGTGGCACGCGCCTGTAGTCCCAGCTACTCGGGAATCTGAGGCAGGAGAATCACTTGAACCCGGGAGGCGAAGGTTGCAGTGAGCCGAGATCACTGCACTCCAGCCTGGCGACAGAGCAAGACTCCGTCTCAAGAAAAAAATTTTATATATATACATATATATTGTACCTCTAACAGAGATAAGTAAACTCACCTAAAAGTGATGCCCAAGTGAAAGCTTAACCATGACCTGAAGATTCTGTTCTAAATTTTCTTGAAAAGATTATATTTATTAGATATTGGCTTGCCAGAAATGGAAGGGTAGAAGTAGAGAATTATAGAGTTATATACTCACTACATACTCCAGCCCTGTGGAGGGCAGAGGCTACTCTCAACTAATGATGTGGCTGGGAATATGAATTCTGACGTCAGAAGAAATGGATTCAAATACTGAAATACTGACTCTTATACTTAATCACAGTGTGGTAGGAAGACTTCTAAGATGGTCTCTAAAGATCTCCGTCTTATAGTAGTTATGCCCCTGTGTAATCCTCTTCTCTGGATTGCAGGCTGGACCTAATGATTTGAATATAACCAATGTAATACAGCAAAGGTGATGGGATACCTCTTCCATGATGAGGTTACAAAAGATTGTAATTTCTATCTTGCTAGCAGACCATCTATTGCCTTCTCAACTTCCCTTATATGAGAAAGCAAGCTGCCATGGAGAGGTCCATGTGGCAATGAACTGAACTTGACCTCCAGTCAATAACTTGCAAGGAACTGAATATAGCCAATAACTATTGAATTAGCTTAGAAGCAGATACTTCTCCAGTTGAATCTTCAAATGAGACTGTACTCATTTGGCCAACACTTTTATTACAGTCTCTTGAGAAAACAAGAAGAGGGGACTTAAGTAAAGTGTAGCCAAATTCTTTTTATTTTATTTTATTTTATTTTATTTTATTTTAAGTTCCTGGGTACATGTGCAGGATGTTCAAGTTTGTTACTTAGTTAAAACTGTGCCGAGGTGGTTTGCTGCACCTATCAACCCATCACTTAGGTATTAAGCCCAGCATGCATTAGCTATTTTTCCTTTCACCCATTCAACAGGCCCCAGTGTGTGTTGTTCCCCTCTCTGTGACTATATGCTCTCATTGTTCAGCCTCAACTTATGAGTGAGAACATGTGGTTTTTCATTTTCTGTTCTTGCACTAGTTTGCTAAGGATAATGGGTTCCAGCTCCATTCATGTCCCTGAAAAGAACATGATCTCATTCGTTTTTTTATGGCTGCATAGTATTCCATGGTGTATATATACCACATTTTCTTTTTCCACTCTATCATTGATGGGCATTTAGGTTGATTCCATGTTTTTGCTATTGTGTCTTTATAATAGAATGATTTATATTCCTTTGAGTATATACCCAGTAAAGGGATTGCTGGGTCAAATGGTGTTTCTGCCTCTAGGTCTTTGAGGAATCACACACTGTCTTCCACAATGGTTAAACTGATTTACATTCTCACCAGCAATGTAGAAACATTCCTATTTCTCTGCCACCTTGCCAGCATCTGTTGTTTCTTAACTTTTTAATAATTACCATTCTGACTGGCATAAGATGGTATCTCATTGTAGTTTTGATTTGCATTTCTCTAATAATCAGGGATATTGAGATTTTTTCATATGTTTGTTGGTGCATAAATGTCTTCTTTTGATAAATGTCTGTTCATGTCCTTTGCCCACTTTTTCATGGAATTGTTTCTTTGTTTTTTTCTTATAGATTTGTTTCAATTCCTTATAGTTTCTGGATATTAGGTCTTTGTCAGATGGATAAACTGCACAATTTTTCTCCCATTCTGTAGGTTGTCTGTTCACTCTGATGATAGTTTCTTTTGCTGTTTAGCCAAATTCTTAACCCACACAAACTGCAGTAATAAACTGGCATTGTGTTAAGCCCCTACGTTTTGTAGTAATTTGTTACACAGCTATAGATAGCTAGTACACGCAGTGTGACCATTAACAAGATTTCTTAATTTCTCAAGCATTTAGTGTTCACATCTATAAAATGACTATAATTAGAATAGCTATGCTACTGTGTGAAAAGCGCTTTATCCTATGAATGGTAGTGACTACTGGAAAATATAGCAGGTCCCAATTAAAAATGCATATCTTATTTGAATAAATTCTGAACTAAATTGAATATAACGCATAGTAAAGCAGATTAGAAAAATTGTCTTAATGTAGATAAAGCTGAACTGAGTCTGAATCATGGTTTATATCTATAGACAGGTATTCTTAAAAATACTGAGTCCTAGATACAGGCAGAATTTTGCAGCCAGTAACAGCAGCACCAGATCTAGAAAGCTCTTCCCACATAGGAGGCTTACTTCTGTAAGATTTACAGCATGGAAAATAAGATAAGCATTTTCATTGTCTGGGATCATCATTTCTAAGAGAAAGAGAGAAGAGAGAAAGAGAGGAAGAGGTTGACCAAGGCTTGTTAATTTTTTTTTTCTTCAAAACATACCAATCAGATCATGGTTTCTCCAGTATAGGAACAGAGCATATGAAAATACAGAAGACATGAAGGGGCCTCAAGATTTATGCTAAAGAAAATCCTTCCATGTGGAAACATTAAGAATAGCTCATAGGAGGCAGAGCAAGGTAGCCAAACAGAAGCCTCCGGTGATTTTCCCTCTGCAAGAACTTTAAATTGAGCAACTATCCACACAAGAAATCATCTGCATAAGAACTGAAAATCAGGTGAGTGATTACAGTATCTGATTTTAACACCCTATCAAGGAAAAGAGGCACTAAAGAGGCTAGGAAAGACAGTCTTGAATTGTCGGCCCCAGCTGTCCCTGATCCCCTGGCAATGGTCATGTGGTTGCATGGTAGGGAGAGAAAATCTGTGTGATAGGGGGAGGGAGAGTGCAGTGATTGTGGGCCTCTGCAGTAGAACTCAGTGTGGTTCTGTAACAGTGGAAAGCAACACAGGGAAGAATTCAGCCAGCACCCAAGGAATGAACATTTAGGTCAGCCCTAGCCAGAGGGGAATCATCTACCCCAGTGGGCAGAACATGAGTTATGACTAGCCACACACCACACTAAAGTGTTCTAGGGTCTTAAGAAAAGTTGAAAGACAATCTAGGCTACAAGGACTGTAATTCCTGGACAAGTACTGCTTCTGGGCTGGGCTCAGAGCCAGTGGACTTGGAGTGTATGTGATCCACTGAGACAACAGCTGGGGCGACCAAGAGAGTGCTTGTGTCACCCCTTCTCAACCACAGGCAGGGCAGCTTACTGCTCCTGGAGAGACTCTTTCCTTCCACTTGAGAAATGGAGAGGGGAGGGTAAAGAGGACTTAGTCTTACAACTTGGATACCAGCTTAGCCACAGTAAAATAAAGCACCAAAAGAAGTCTTGAAGTCCCAGTTCCAGGCCTTAGTTCCCAGGCAACATTTCCAGAAAATCCCTGGAACAGAAGGAAACCAACTTTCCTGAAGGGAAGAACTTAGTCTTAGCAGGATTCATCATCAGCTGACAAAAGAGCCCTGCGGCTTTGAATAAATATCAGTGGTAGCCTGACAGTACTCACCATGGTCATTGGACAAGACCCAGTACCATACTGGCTTCAAGTGTGACTCAGCACATTCCCAGCTGTGGTGGCCACAAGGAGAAACTCCTACTTGAGGAAAGGAAAAGGAAGAGTAAAAAGGACTTTGTCCTGTAACTTGGGTAACAGCTCAGCAGCAGTAAAATAAAGCACTGAGCAGACCCCTGAAGTCCCCGATTCCAGGCCTTTGCTCCTAGATGTCACTGTTAGACCTGCCAAGGTAATCTAAGGAATTCTCACAGATCTCACCCAAGAGCACCAAGGCAGTACCTCTTCAAATCTGCAAATGTCACAGCATTGCTGGGCTTGATATGTCTCCTAATGCAGGTATGGCTGCAGTGACCAAAGTCTTAGATCACAACACTTAATTCCCTTTGAATATTTGGAAGACTTTCCCAAGAAGGGCAGGAAGAAACAACCCCAGACTGTGAAGACTACAATATATACCTAACTCTTCAATGACCAATCATTGACTAAAATCTACAAACATCTAGACCATCCAGAAAAACATGATATCACTGAATGAACCAAATAAGACACCAGTGACTAATCCTGGAGAGACAGAGATATGTTACCCTCAGACAGAGACTTCAAATTTTTTTGAGGAAGCTCAACAAAATTCAAGATAAAACAGAAAAGGAATTTAGAATCCTATCTGATAAATTTAACAAAGAGATTGAATATTTATTTAAAATCAAGAAGAAATTCTGGAGCTGAAAATTTAATAGACATACTGAAGAATGCATTGGAGTCCCTCAACACCAGAATTGATAAACCAGAAGAAAGAATTGTGAGATTGAATACAGGCTATTTTATAATACATAGTCAGAGGAGACAAAAGAATAATAAATAAAATAGAATGAAGCATGACTGCAAGATTTAGAAAATAGCCTCAAAAGGGCAAATCTAAGAGTTATTGAAGAGGAAGCAGAGAAAGACATTGGGGTAGAAATTATATTCAAGGGGATAATAACAGATAACTTTCCTAACCAGATAAATATACAAATATTCAAGTACAAGAAAGTTATAGAATATCAAACTGGTTTAACTTCAATAAGACAACTTCGATATTTCATTCAAATAGAAACCAACAATGAGCAGGAGTAGCTAAGCTTACATCAGACAAAATTATTTCAAGACAAATACTAGAAAGAGCCAAAGATGGTCATTATATATTGATAAAGGGGTTAATTCACAAAGAGTATAAAAATTGTAAATATGTGCACCCAATCCTGGAGCACCCAGATATATAAAGCAAATAGTATTAGAGCTAAAGTGAGAGAGAGACTCCAATGCAATAATAGCTGGAGACTTCAACACTCCACTTACAGCATTGGACAGATCATCCAGACAAAAAATCAACAAAGAAACATTAGACTTAATGTGCAATATAGGCCAAATGGTCCTAATAGATATTTAAAGAACATTTTATCCAACAGTTGAAGAATACATATTCATCACCTCAGCACATGAATCATTCTCAAAGACAGACCATATATTAAGCCACAAAACAAACCTTAAAGATTTCAAAATAATTGAAACCATATCAAGTATCTTCTCTGACACAGTAGAACAAAATGAGAAATTAATAGCAAGAGGAAGTTTGGAAACTATACAAACACATGGAAATTAAACAACATGCTGCTGAATGACCAGAAGGTTAATGAAGAAATCAAGAAGGGAATTTAAAGATATCTTGAAACAAAGGAAAATGGAAACACAACAAACCTATGGGATGCAAGGAAAGCAGTACTGAGAGGAATGTTTATTCAAATGAGCAGCTACATCGAAAAAGTAGAAAAACTTTAAATAAAAAAATTAATAATGCATCTTAAAGAACTAGAAAAGTTAGAGCAAACAAAACCCAAAATTAGTAGAAGAAAAATTATAAAGAAAACAGCAGAAATCAATGAAATTGAAACAAAACACAAAAGATAAATGAAACAAAAAGTTTGTTTGTGAACAGATAAACAAAATCAACAAACCTTTAACTAGACTAAGAAAAAAAGAAAGAAGACCCAAATAAATAAAATCCAATATGAAAATGGAGAAATTACAACTAACACAGCAGAAATTCAAAGAATTATTAGAAACTAATATGAGCAACTATATGCCAATAAACTGGAAAACCTAGAAGAAATGGATAAATTTCTAGACATATACAACCTGCAAGATTGAAACATGAAGTCTAAAACTTTAGTAGACCAATAATAAGTAATGAGATCAAAGCCATAATAAAAAGTGTCCTGCAAAGAAATGCTCAGGACTTGATGTCAATTTTACCAAATATTTAAATAAGAAATAATATCAGTCCTACTCAGAATATTATGAAAAATGGAGCAGAAGAGAATACATCCAAACTTATTCTACAAGGCCAGCATTAGCCTGATACCAAAACCAAAGACACTTCAAAAATGAAAACTACAATATCCTTCATAAACACTAATGCAAAAATCCTCAATAAAATGCTGACAAACCAAATTCAACACCACAAAAAAGATCATTCATCATAACCAAGTAGGATGTATCCTAGGGATGCAAGGATGGCTTAACGTATGCAAATCAACCAATGTAATACATCATATCAACAGAATGAAGGAAAAACTTTATGATTATTTCAATTGATGCTGAAAAGCATCTGATAAAATTCAACATTCCTTCATGATGAAAACCCTCAAAAAACTGGAAATAGAAGGAACATACCTTGACACAATAAAACCCATATAAGACAGACCCACAGCTGCTATTATACTGAACAGGGAAAAACTGAAAGCCTTTCCTATAAGATCTAGAGCAAGACAAGGATGCTCATTTTCACCACTGTTATTCAACATAGTACTAGAAGTCCTAACTATAGCAAACAGAAAATAGAAACAAATAAAAGGCATCCAAATTGGAAAGGAAGAAATCAAATTACTCTTGATGATATTATCTTTTATGTTGTTGTTTTGTTTGTGTTTTTGAGACAGAGTCTCACTCTGTCACCCAGATTGGAGGGCAATGGTTCCACCTTGGCTCACTACAATACCTGCTTCATGGGTTCAAGTGATTCTCTCACCTCAGGCTTCTGAGTAACTGGGATTACAGGTGCCTGCCACCATGTCCAGCTAATTTCTGTATTTTTAGTAGAGACAGAGTCTTGCCATGTTGGCCAGCCTGGTCTTGAACTCCTGACCTCAAGTGATCCACCTGCCTTGGCCTCCCAAAGTGCTGGGATTACAGGCATGAGTCACTGTGCCCAGCCTGATATTATCTTATGTTTGGAAAAACCTAAACACTCCACCAAAAATCTATGCAAACTCATAAATAAAATTAGTAAAGTTGCAAGGATATAAAATCAACATAGAAATCAGGAGCATATTTATATGACAACAGTGAACACTCTGAAAAAGAAATCAAGAAAGTAATCCCATTTACAATAGCTACAAATAAAATAAAAGAGCTAGGAATAAATTTAACCAAAGAAGTGAAGATATTTACAATGAAAACTATAAAACATTGGTGTGGAGCCAAGATGGCCAAATAGGAACAGCTCCAGTCTACAGCTCCCAGCGTGAGCAACGCAGAAGACAGAAGACGGGTGATTTCTGCATTTCCAACTGAGGTACCGGGTTCATCTCACTGGGGAAAGTCAGAAAGTGGGTGCAGGACAGTGGGTATAGCGCACCCAGCATGAGCAAAAGCAGGTTGAGGCATCGCCTCACCTGAGAAGTGCAAGGGGTCAGGGAATTCCCTTTCCTAGTCAAAGAAAGGGGTGACAGATGGCACCTGGAAAATCGGGTCACTCCCACCCTAATACTGTGCTTTTCCAACAGTCTTAGTAAATGGCACACCAGGAGATTATATCCCGCTTCTGGCTTGGAGGGTCCTATGCCCACCGAGCCTCGCTCATTGCTAGCACAGCAGTCTGAGATCAAACTGCAAGGCAGCAGCAAGGCTGGGGGAGGGGCGCCCACCATTGCTGAGTCTTGAGGAGGTAAACAAAGCCTCCTGGAAGCTCAAACTGGGTGGAGCCCACTGCAGCTCAAGGAGGCCTGCCTGCCTGTGTAGACTCCACCTCTGGGGGCAGGGCAAAGCCAAACAAAAGGCAGCAGAGTCCTCTGCAAACTTAAGTGTCCCTGTCTGACAGCTTTGAAGAGAGTAGTGGTTCTCCCAGCACGCAGCTGGAGAGCTGAGAACAGACAGACTCCCTTCTCAAGTGGGTCCCTGACCCCTGAGTAGCCTAACTGGGAGGCACCCCCCAGTAGGGGCAGACTGACACCTCACACTGCTGGGTACTCTTCTGAGACAAAACTTCCAGAGGAACGATGAGGCAGCAACATTTGCTGTTCACCAAAATTTGCTGTTCTGCAGCCTCTGCTGCTGATACCCAGCCAAACAGGGTCTGGAGTGGACCTCCAGCAAACTCCAACAGACCTGCGGCTGAGACTCCTGACTGTTAGAAGGAAAACTAACAAACAGAAAGGACATCCACACCAAAATCCCATCTGTACGTCACCATTGTCAAAGACCAAAGGTAGATAAAACCACAAAGAATGGGAAAAAACAGAGCAGAAAAACTGGAAACTCAAAAAATCAGAGCGCCTCTCCTTCTCCAAAGGAATGCAGCTCCTCACCAGCAATGGAACAAAGCTGGACGGGGAATGACTTTGACGAGTTGAGAGAAGAAGGCTTCAGACGATCAAACTACTCCGAGCTAAAGGAGGAAGTTCGAACCCATGGCAAAGAAGTTAAAAACCTTGAAAAAAAATTAGACGAATGGCTAACTAGAATAACCAATGCAGAGAAGTCCTTAAATGACCTGATGGAGCTGAAAACCAAGGCACAAGAACTACATGACAAATGCACAAGCCTTGGTAGCCAATTCAATCAACTGGAAGAAAGGGTATCAGTGATGGAAGAGCAAATGAATGAAATGAAGCACGAAGAGAAGCTTAGAGAGAAAAGAATAAAAAGAAATGAACAAAGCCTCCAAGAAATAGGGGACTATGTGAAAAGACCAAATCTATGTCTGATTGGTGTACTTGAAAGTGACGGGGAGAATGGAACCAAGTTGGAAAACACTCTGCAGGATATTATCCAGGAGAACTTCCCCAATCTAGCAAGGCAAGCCAACATTCAAATTCAGGAAATACAGAGAAGGCCACAAAGATACTCCTCAAGAAGAGCAACTCCAAGACACATAATTGTCAGATTCACCAAAGTTGAAATGAAGGAAAAAATGTTAAGGGCAGCCAGAGAGAAAGGTCGGGTTACCCTCAAAGGGAAGCTCATCAGACTAACAGTTGATCTCTCGGCAGAAACTCTACAAGCCAGAAGAGAGTGGGGGCCAATATTCAACATTCTTAAAGAAAAGAATTTTCAACCCAGAATTTCATATCCAGCCAAACTAAGCTTCATAAGTGAAGGAGAAATAAAATCCTTTACAGACAAGCAAATGCTGAGAGATTTTGTCACCACCAGGCCTGCCCTAAAAGAGCTCCTGAAGGAAGCACTAAACATGGAAAGGAAAAACCAGTACCAGCCACTGCAAAAACATGCCAAATTGTAAAGACCACTGAGGCTAGGGAGAAACTGCATCAACTAAGGAGCAAAATAACCAGCTAACATCATAATGACAGGATCAAATTCACACATAACAATATTAATCTTAAATGTAAATGGTCTAAATGCTCCAATTAAAAGACACAGACTGCCAAATTGGATAAAGAGTCAAGACCCATCAGTGTGCTGTATTCAGGAGACCCATCTCACGTGCAGAGACATACATAGGCTCAAAATAAAGGGATGGAGGAAGACCTACCAAGCAAATGGAAAACAAAAAAAGGCAGGGGTTGCAATCCTAGTCTCTGATAAAACAGACTTTAAACCGACAGTCTCTGATAAAACAGACTTTAAACCGACAAAGATCAAAGAGACAAAGAAGGCCATTACATAATGGTAAAGGGATCAATTCAGCAAGAAGAGCTAACTATCCTAAATATATATGCACCCAATACGGGAGCACCCAGATTCATAAAACTAGTCCTCAGAGACCTACAAAGAGACTTAGACTCCCACTCAATAATAATGGGAGATTTTAACACCCCACTGTCAACATTAGACAGATCAACGAGACAGAAAGTTAACAAGGATATCCAGGAATTGAACTCAGCTCTGCACCAAGCGGACCTAATAGACATCTCCAGAACTCTCCACCCCAAATCAACAGAATATACATTCTTTTCAGCACCACACCACGCCTATTCCAAAATTGACCACATAGTTGGAAGTAAAGCACTCCTCAGGAAATGTAAAAGAACAGAAATTATAACAAACTGTCTCTCAGACCACAGTGCAATCAAACTAGGACTCAGGATTAAGAAACTCACTCAAAATCACTCAACTACATGGAAACTGAACAACCTGCTCCTGAATGACTACTGGGTACATAATGAAATGAAGGCAGAAATAAAGATGTTCTTTGAAACCAACGAGAACAAAGACACAACATACAAGAATCTCTGGGACACATTCAAAGCAGTGTGTAGAGGGAAACTTATAGCACTAAATGCCCACAAGAGAAAGCAGGAAAGATCTAAAATTGATGCCCTAACATCACAATTAAAAGAACTAGAGAAGCAAGAGCAAACACATTCAAAAGCTAGCAGAAGGCAAGAAATAACTAAAATCAGAACAGAACTGAAGGAAATAGAGACACAAAAAACCCTTCAAAAAATCAATGAATCCAGGAGCTGGTTTTTTGAAAAGATCCACAAAATTGATAGACCTCTAGCCAGACTAACATAGAAGAAAAGAGAGAAGAATCAAATAGATGCAATAAAAAATGATAAAGGGGATATCACCACCAATCCCACAGAAATACAAACTACCATCAGAGAATACTATAAACAACTCTAAGCAAATAAACTATAAAATCTAGAAGAAATGGATAAATTCCTCAACACATATACCCTCCAAAGACTAAACCAGGAAGAAGTTGAATCTCTGAATAGACCAATAACAGGCTCTGAAATTAAGGCAATAATTAATAGCTTACCAACCAAAAAAAGTCCAGGACCAGAAGGATTCACAGCCAGATTCTACCAGAGGTACAAGGAGGAGCTGGTACCATTCCTTCTGAAAATATTCCAATCAATAGAAAAGAGGGAATCCTCCCTAAGTCATTTTATGAGGCCAGCATCATCCTGATACCAAAGCCAGGCAGAGACACAACAAAAAATGAAAATTTTAGACCAATATCTCTGATGAACATTGATGCAAAAATCCTCAATAAAATACTGGCAAACCGAATCCAGCAACACTTCAAAAAGCTTATCCACCATGATCAAGTGGGCTTCATCCCTGGGATGCAAGCGTGGTTCAACATACGCAAATCAATAAATGTAATCCAGCATATAAACAGAACCAAAGACAAAAAACACATGATTATCTCAATAGATGCAGAAAAGGCCTTTGACAAAATTCAACAACCCTTCATGCTAAAAACTCTCAATAAATTAGGTATTGATGGGAAGTATCTCAAAATAATAAGAGCTATCTATGACAAACCCACAGCCAATATCATACTGAATGGGCAAAAACTGGAAACATTCCCTTTGAAAACTGGCACAAGACAGGGATGCCCTCTCTCACCACTCCTATTCAACATAGTGTTGGAAGTGCTGGCCAGGGCAATCAGGCAGGAGAAGGAAATAAAGAGTATTCAATTAGGAAAAGAGGAAGTCAAATTGTCCCTGTTTGCAGATGACATGATTGTATATCTACAAAACCCCATCGTCTCAGCCCCAAGTCTCCTTAAGCTGATAAGCAACTTCAGCAAAGTCTCAGGATACAAAATCAATGTGCAAAAATCACAAGCTTTCTTATACACCAATAACAGACAAACAGAGAGCCAAATCATGTGTGAACTCCCATTCACAATTGTTTCAAAGAGAATAAAATACCTAGGAATCCAACTTACAAGGGATGTGAAGGACCTCTTCAAGGAGAACTACAAACCGCTGCTCAAGGAAATAAAAGAGGATACAAACAAATGGAAGAACATTCCATGCTCATGGGTAGGAAGGATCAATATCGTGAAAATGGCCATACTGCCCAAGGTAATTTATAGATTCAATGCCATCCCCATCAAGCTACCAATGACTTTCTTCACAGAATTGGAAAAAACTATTTAAAGTTCATATGGAACCAAAAAAGAGCCTGCATCGCCAAGTCAATCCTAAGCCAAAAGAACAAAGCTGGAGGTGTCACCCTACCTGACTTCAAACTATACTACAGGGCTACAGTAACCAAAACAGCATGGTACTGGTACCAAAACAGAGATATAGATCGATGGAGGAGAACAGAGCCCTCAGAAATAATGCCGCATATCTACAACTATCTGATCTTTGACAAACCTGAGAAAAACAAGCAATGGGGAAAGGATTCCCTATTTAATAAATGGTGCTGGGAAAACTGGCTAGCCATATGTAGAAAGCTGAAACTGGATCCCTTCCTTACACCTTATACAAAAATTAATTCAAGATGGATTAAAGACTTAAACGTTAGACCTAAAACCATAAAAACCCTAGAAGAAAACCTAGGCATTACCATTCAGGACATAGGCATGGGCAAGGACTTCATGTCTAAAACACCAAAAGCAATGGCAACAAAAGCCAAAATTGACAAATGGGATCTAATTAAACTAAAGAGCTTCTGCACAGCAAAATAAACTACCATCAGAGTGAACAGGCAACCTACAAAATGGGAGAAAATTTTCACAACCTACTCATCTGACAAAGGGCTAATATCCAGAATCTACAATGAACTCAAAGAAATTTACAAGAAAAAAACAAACAACCCCATCAAAAAGTGGGCAAAGGACATGAACAGACACTTCTCAAAAGAAGACATTTATGCAGCCAAAAAACACATGAAAAAATGCTCACCATCACTGGCCATCAGAGAAATGCAAATCAAAACCACAATGAGATACCAGCTCACACCAGTTAGAATGGCAATCATTAAAAAGTCAGGAAACAACAGGTGCTGGAGAGGATGTGGAGAAATAGGAACTTTTACACTGTTGAGGGTACTGTAAACTAGTTCAACCCTTGTGGAAGTCAGTGTGGCGATTCCTCAGGGATCTAGAGCTAGAAATACCATTTGACCCAGGCATCCCATTACTGGGTACATACCCAAAGGACTATAAATCATGCTTCTATAAAGAAACATGCACACTTATGTTTATTGCATCATTATTCACAATAGCAAAGACTTGGAACCAACCCAAATGTCCAACAATGATAGACTGAGTTAAGAAAATGTGGCACATATACACCATGGAATACTATGCAGCCATAAAAAATGATGAGTTCATGTCCTTTGTAGGGACATGGATGAAATTGGAAATCATCATTCTCAGTAAACTATCACAAGAACAAAAAACCAAACACCGCATATTCTCACTCATAGGTGGGAATTGAACAATGAGATCACATAGACAAAGGAAGGGGAACATCACACTCTGGGGACTGTTGTGGCGTGGGGGAGGAGGGAGGGATTGCAGTGGGAGATATACCTAATGCTAGATGACGAGTTAGTGGGGGCAGCACACCAGCATGGCACATGTATACGTATGTAACTAACCTGCACAATGTGCACATGTACCCTAAAACTTAAAGTATAATACAAATAAATAAATAAATAAATAAATAAATAAATAAATAAATAAGAAATTAACCCTTAGAATTCCAGTGACTTACCAAAACAAACATTTGTTTAGGCACATAACACATGCTAATGTGGCGATCAAGTGGAGTCGTACATCTGTGCTTCCTATAGTTTCTCAAGGGCTTAGATTGACAGAAATACCACCATACGCATTTTCTGGAATATGCAACCGTTTTGCTTGCCACAAAAGAGGGAATTAAGACTGAAGCATTCTTTATGGGCTTTTGACTGCGTCAGCCTGGAAATTATATGCTTATTCTTCAATTTCATTGGTAAACACAATCACATGACTTTGCAAGGAAGAATGGGAAATGCGGGGGTGTAAATAGACTATTTGGTGAGTATTATTGTCTCCACTACAGACAATTTTATATTTTCTTTATCATGTCAAGTTTCCGTCTTGACTTTTAAAGACTTCTAAATTTGATTTTTCCTTAACTAACTACATTTAAAGCATATGTTTAATGCCATTAGAAGGAAGCATTTAGCAGCAAGGATTTTAGCTCTCCAATTATTATATTGTCCTATAGCTGGATAAGTGTTCTTTACAAACTTCTAGTATAATTTGAAGAATCATGTACAAGATAAAAAAATCCACACAAAAGAAGAAATATTATTGTTTTCAGATAATAACAGCTATACAAATTAAAAGTTTTACTTTTAAAGTGGCACTAAATACAGTATTCTCATAATAATTTCTTTTAATCTTAATGTATATAATTGTATATAACTATATATAGAGTCATATAGAAAAAAACAATGAGAAAAGACACATGATAAATTCAGAATGCAAACAGAAAATATCAAAAAACATTTAAAACAGAAAACTTTTTCTTGATGGTTCTTCCCACCACCTCATTTTCACACTGTTCTATTCTATGTAGTACATATCAAAACTTAGATACATGGAAAAAGCATGATTTTTTTAAATGGAGAACATAAATGCCTGTTGAAAAATGATCAAGATTCATAAAACAGAGAGGAAACACATCAAATGAATAAATCAAGTAGAGGTAAAAAAAATTAACATTAGTTTTAAAAATACTGTCAAATATAAACACATGATTTGCTTATTATATTATAAAGATATGCATACACATTATGTATAAAATATATTTGCATATATACACATGTATACATATATGTACTACATATTTGGTGTGTATCTATATGAGCATATGTGTGTATGTGTATATTATATATAGAGAGAGAAAGAGTTGGCCTACTCCTAATTTTCCAAATTTTTTTGAAAATATGTAATCTCAGAAAGTAATAAATTTGAAAAATATAACATTGCTAAAGTTTTCAAAACAAATATGATGCATCATGATAAAATACACATACACACATATACAATATAGTGCTTTATTTCAAATTACCTATATTCTAAATAATCAGTAAGCAAGATTTATAATAAGATATGTGAAAGGAAATTGAGTTTGGCTCCTAAAAGCTGTATTATTTGTCTGCGCTCCTAAAAGCACAAACAAAATAGATAAGTGAATAAGTCTAGTTTTTAAAATTCCCTTTGACTTGAAGAACCAGATTCCTTAATGGTGGCAGGAAGGCAGTACAGCTTGCATTAGAGAAGTCTGGGTTTCATCTTGGGAGGAATTATTTACCAGATTCAGTACTTAAGCATAAATTTCATGAAGATTCATGAGCAAAAATAAATATTGTGAAGGAAGCTACTGTGTTAGGAATATTCGTTTACAACTCTGTTTAAGATTCAAAATGATCTTGAAATGGACCCTTGATATGGCCTGGGCAAAAACAATGAGGCCCTGATTCACTTTATACCATTGCCAGTGTAAAAGGGACATCATTTAGGAGAAATCGTCATAAAGTAGAAACAACAATAGAAAGCTGAAGTGTGGGGAAATCAGAATGTGTTATTCAAGACTAATTAACTAATAGTATTGGGCACAACTGGCAGCAGTAAGAAAGTGAAGCTTACAGGGTGGGATATGTGAACATAAGGTAGGAAGGGTATAGGGGAGATAAGGCAATGGAGTTCAGATTTAAGTCAGTCTGTCCAGTGAAGGTAGCTGATGTAATAGAAGATGATATTTTCAAGAAATAGAACCTAGTGAAGAGAGAAGAAACTGCCATGGGAAAACACAATATGTCATAATACAGGGAATATAAAAAGTAAGACAGTAAAGAAGACACTTTAGAGCAAAGCAGCGATAGGATTACATTCAGATGTTTTCAATTACTGTGTTATCTTGGGAAACCTACTATGCTCTCTGAGACTCATTTTCTCAATTTGGAATAGTGAATAAGTTTAATCTACAGGATTGTTATTAGAATTAGATATAATACAGGGAATAGCAAGATGGTGAAACAGAAAACTCCATCATTCATCCACAAGGACACCAAGTTAACAACTACCTACACAGAAAAAACACCTTCATAGGAACCAAAAATCAGGTGAGTATTCATGGTACCTGGTTTTAACTTCATAAAAGAGGCACTGAAGAAGCAGAAAATATAGTCTTGAATCATCGATGCTGCCCTTTCCCCATCCCTGGCAGTGTGGCATGGTATGGAGAACATCTCTGGGCACTGGGGGGCGGGAAAGAATACAGCAATTGTGAGGCATTAAACTCCATCCTGTCCTGTTAGAACGGAAAGGAAAACCAGACCAAACTCAGCTGATGCCTGCCCACGGAGGGAACATTTTAACCAGCGGGATCACCTGGGAACTTGAGTTCCCACAATCCTCATCACTGCAGGCTACAGCACTCTGTGTCTCCAAGTAAACTTGAAAGGCAGTCTAGGCCATAAGGACAGAGATTTGTCAGTTGAGTCCCAGTGTTGAATTAGGCCCAGAGACAGTAGACTGTGGGTGGGGAGGAGACACAACATACTGAGAAGTCAGCTGGGGCAGCCAAGGGAGTTCTGCACTGTGCCTCCCCTAACCCAGCTGCACAGGTCACAGCTCCAAAAGAGAACCCTTCCTTCTACTTGAGGAGAGGAAGAGGAAGAATGGGGAGGGCTTTGTCTTGCATCTAGAATATCAGCCCAGCCACAGTAGGCTAGGGCACCAATCAGAGATGTGAGGCCCCTGTTCCAGGCCCTAGCTCCTGGACAACATTTCTAGACACACCCTGGGCCAGAATGGAACCCACTGACTTGAAGGAAAGGAACCAGACTTGCCAGTATTCATCACTTGCTAACTGAAGAGCCCTTGGGCCCTGAATGAATAGGAGCCATACCCAGGTACTACATTGAGGGCCTTGACTGAACCTCAGACTTGTGGACTTCAGGTGGGACTCAGCACATAACCAGCCACAGTGAGCACTGAGCAAAACTCCTGCTTGAGAAAAGCAAAGAGAAAAGTAAAGGAGACTTTGTCTCGCACCTCAGGTACCAGCAAGGCCATAGGGGCATAGAGCACTAAGGCAGCTCTTGGGGGTCTCCAGTTCCAGGGCTTGACTCTTGGACTGCATTTCTGGACCTGTCCTGGGCCAGAGTTGCCCTGAAAGATGAGTTGCAGAACAGGCAGCATTCACCACAAGCTGACTTAAGAGACCTTGGGAGTTTTTAACATGAAGGGATGTTGAATTTTATCAAAAGCCTTTTCTGCCTCTATTGAGATAATTATGTGCTTTTTGTCTTTAGTTCTGTTTATGTGATGAATCACACTTACTGATTTGCATACGCTGAACCAGCCTTACATCCTGAGGATGACGCCTACTTGACCGTGATGGATAAGCTTTTTGATGTGCTGCTGGATTCAGTTTGCCAGTATTTTGTTGAGGATTTTTGCATCAATATTCACCAAGGATATTGGCCTGAAGTTTTCTTTTCTTTCTCTCTCTCTCTTTTTTTTTTTTTTTTTTTTTTTTTTTTTTTGGTATTTCTGCCAGGTTTTGGTACCAGGATGATGTTGATGTTGGCATCATAGAATGAGTTATGGAGGGGTCCTTCCTTTTCAGTTTTTTGGAATAGTTTCAGTAGGAATGGTACTAGCTCTTCTTTGTACCTGTGATAGAATTCAGTTGTGACTCTTTCTGGTCCTGGGCTCTTTTTAATTGGTAGGTTATTTATTACTGCCTCAAATTCAGAACTAATTACTGATCTGTTCAGCGATTTAATTTCTTCCTAGTTCAGTCTTGGGAAGGTGTTTGTGTCCAGGAATGTATCCATTTCTTCCAGATTTTCTAGTATATGTACAGAGAGGTTGTTTATAATATTCTCTGATGGTTGTATTTCTGTGGGGTCAGTAGTGTTATCTTCCTTAACACTTCTGATTGTGTTTATTTGACTCTTCTCTCTTTTATTTTTTATTAGTCTAGCTAGTAATCTATCTATTTTATTAATTTTTTCAAAAAACCAGCTTCTGGATTTACTAATTTTTGAAGGTTTTGTGTGTGTGTGTGTGTGTGTGTGTGTGTGTGTCTCCAGCTCCTTCAGTTTAGCTCTGATCTTGGTTATTTCTAGTCTTCTGCTACTTTTGGAGTTTGTTTCCTATTGGTTCTTCAGTTCTTTTAGTTGTGATGTTGGGTTGTTAACATAAGATCTTTCTAGCTTTTGTACGTGGCCATTTTGTGCTATAAATTTTCCTTTTAATCCTGCTTTAGCTGTGTCCCAGGGATTCTCGTACATTGTGTCTTTGTTCTCATTCTTTCAAATAACTTCTTGATTTCTACCTTAATTTCATTATTTACCCAAAAAGTCATTCAGGAGCAGGTTGTTCAGTTTCCATGTAGTTACATGGTTTTGACTGAAATTCTTAATCTTGAGTTCTAAATTGATTGTGTTTTTGTCTGAGAGACTACAGATATCAAAGGAACATACCTCAAAATAATAAGCACCATATATGACAAACCCACAGGAAATATCATACTGAATGGGCAAAAGCTGGAATCATTCCACTTGAAAACCAGCACAAGACAAGGTTACCCTCTCTCACCACTCCTATTCAATGTAGTATTGGAAGTTATGGCCAGGGCAATCAGGTAAGAGAAAGAAATAAAGGGTATTTAAATCGGAAGACTGGAAGTAAAACTTTGTTTGCAGATGACATGATCCTATACCTAAAAAACCCCATCATCACAGCCCAAAATTTTCTTAAGCTGATAAGCAATTTTAGCAAAGTCTCAGGATACAAAGTCAATATGCAAAAATCACTAGCATTTCTGTACTGCAACAACAGACAAGCCAAAAGTCAAATCAAAAATGAACTTCCATTCACAATACTGACAAAAAGGAGAAAATACCTAGGAATACAGCTAACAAGAGAAGTGAAGGACTTCCTCAAGGATAACTACAAACCACTGTTCACAGAAATTATAGGAGACACAAAACAAATTGGAAAACAGTCCATGCTCATGGAGAGGAATAATTATCCTGTCAAAACAATTTATAGATTCAGTGCTATTCCCATTAAACTACAATTGACATTTTTTCACAGAACCAGAAAAAAACTATTTTACAATTCATATGCAACCAAAACAAACTCTGAATAGCTAAAGTAACTCTAAGCAAAAAGAACAAAGCTGCAGGCATCATGCTACTTGACTTCAAACTATACTACAGGGCTACAGAAACAAAAACAGCATGGTACTGGTATGATAACAGACACATATACCAATGGAACAAAATATAGAACCCAGAAATAAGACTGCACATCTACAACCATTGATCTTCAACAAACCTGATGAAAACAGGCAATGGGGAAAGAATTCCCTATTTAATAAATGGTGCTGGGAGAACTGGCTAACCATATGCAGAAAACTGAAACTGGACCCCTTCCTTACACCATATACGAAAATCAACTCAAGACAAATTAAAAACCTAAATGTAAAACCCAAAACTATAAAATCCTTCGAAGAAAACCTAGGCAATGCCATTCAGGACATAGGTACAGGCAAAAGTATCATGAGGAAGATGCCAAAATCAATTGCAGCAAAAGCAAAAATTGTCAAATAGTATCTAATTAAACTAAAGGGCTTCTGCACAGCAAAAGAATTTATTAGCAGAGTAAACAAACAAGTTACAGAATGGAAACAAATTTTGCAATCTATCCATCTGACAATGGTCTAATATTCAGCATCTATAAGGAACTTAAATACATTTACAGGAAAAACAAACAACCCCATTAAAAAGTATGCAAAGGATATGAACAGACACTCCTCCAAAGAAAACATACATGCAGCCAAAAAACATGAAAAGAAACTCAACATCACTGACCATTAGAGAAATGCAAGTCAAAACCACAATGAGATACCATGTCATACCAGTCAGAATTGCTATTACTAAAAAGCCAAAAAACAGCAGATGCTGGCAAGGTTTTGGAGAAAAAGGAACAGTTTTTTACTGTTGGTTAGAGTGTGAATTAGTTTAACCATTGTGGAAAACTGTGGTAATTCCTCAAAGACCTAGAGGCAGAAATACCATTCAACCCAGCAATCCCATTACTGAGTATATACCAAAAGGAATATAAATCATTCTATTATAAAGACACATGCATGCATATGTTCATTGCAGCACTATTCACAGTAACAAAAACATGGACTCAACCTAAATGCTCATCAATAATACTCTGGATAAAGAATATGTGTACATATACACCATGGAATACTATGCAGCCATAGAGAGGAATGAGGTCATGTCCTTTGCAGGGACATGGATGGAGCTGAAGGCCATTATCCTTAGCAAACTAATGCAGGAACAGAAAATCAAATACCACATGTTCTCTCTTATAAGTAGGAGCTAAATCATGAGAACACATGGACACAAGGAGGTGGGAAACATCACACACTGTGTCTTGTCAGAGAATGGGGGCTTGTGGGGAGGAGTGAGGGCATAAGGAAGAATAGCTAATGGATGCTGGGCTTAATACCTGAGTGATGGGATTATCTTTAGAGCAAACGAGCATGGCACACTTTTACCTGTGAAACAAACTTGCATATCTTGTACATGTCCCCCTGAACATAAAATAAAAGTCGAAAATTTAAAAATAATAATAAAAGAAGAGACCTTGGGGCTTAATGGAACATTGGTGATAATCTGTCAGTGCTCCTTGTGGCCTGAGATGGCAGTGGCTATGGTGTGAGGCTCCTCTCCCTTTAGTAAAAGGAGAGAAGAGTGGGAAGGGCTGCATCTTGCTGTCTGAGTGTCAGCTCAACCACAATATGACATAACACAATATTATATAACAGGTGGAGTTCTAAGGTTTTTTACTTTAGTCCCTAACTCCTGGATGAAACTTCTGTACCCACCCAGAGCATAGGGAACCTCACTGCTGTGAAGGGCAAGACAGAGGCCTTGTTTGCCACCTGCTGATTGTGGAGATCCAGGGCTTTAAGCAAACATAGATAGTAGCCAGAGAGTGGTTACAGCAGGCCTTGGAAAAGACCTAGCACTGCTCTGGCTTCAGGTCTGACTCAGAGCCGTCATAGTGGTGGGGGCCACAGGAGTGCTTGTGTCACTCCACCTCCAGCTTTAGGTGGCTCAGAACAGAGAGAGAGAAAGATTCTGCATGTTTGGGACAAAGGAAGGGAACACGAGTGTCTGCCTGGTAAACCAGAAAACTCTCCTAGATTTTGTCCAAGACCACCAAGGATGTACCTCTACAAGTCTGCAGTACCACAGAATTACTGGGCTTGGTATGCCCCATAAAGCAGATAGAGCTTAGATCTTTCAAATATCTGAAAAGTGTTTCCAAGAAGGATGGCTACAAGTAAATCCAGACAATGAAGACTACAATAAATACCTAACTCTTCAATGCTCAGACTCTGAAGAACATCTCTCCTAGCATCAACACCATCCCCGAAAACATTACCTCAGCAAATGAAATAAGGCACCAGGTACCAATACTGGAGAAACAGATATGTGACCTTTCAGACAGAGAATTAAAAATAGCCATGTTGAGAAAACTCAGAGAAATTCAGGATAACACAGAGAAGGAAATCAGAATGTTACCAGATAAATTTAACAATGAAATTGAAATAATTCAAAAGAATGGAGCAAAAATTTTGGAGCTAGAAAATACAGTTGGCAAACAAAAGAATGCATCAGAATCTCTCAAAAGCAGAATTGATCAAGCAGAAGAAAGAATTGTGAGCTTAAAAACAGGTGATTTGAAAATACACAGCCAGAGGAGACAAAAGAAAAAAGAATAAAAACAATGAAGCATACATGTAGGATCTAGAAAATAGCCTCAAGAAGCCAAATCTAAGAGTTATTGTCCTTAAATAGGAGGTAGAGAAAGAGATAGGAGTAGATGGTTTATTCAAAGGGGTAATAATAGAGAACTTCCCAAACCTAAAGAAAAATATCAATATCCAAGTACAAAAAAGTTACAGAATACCAAGTAGGTTTAACCCAAAAAAACTACCTCAAGGCATTTAATAATCAGACTCCCCAAGGTCAAGGATGAAGAAAAGATTCTAAATGCAGCAGGAGAAGAGAAGCAAGTAACATACAATGGAGCATCAATATGTCTGACAGCAGGCTTTTCAGTGGAAACTTTACAGGCCAGGAGAGACTAGCATGACATATTTCAAGTCATGCTTGAAGGAAAAAATATTTTACCCTGGAATAGAATATCTGGTGAAAATATCCTTCAAACATGAAGGAGGTATAAAGACTTTCCCAGACAAACAAAAAGCTGAAGCATTTTATTAATACCACACCTGCCCTACAGGAAATGCTAAAAGGAGCACTTTAATCAGAAAGAAAAGGACGTTAATGAGCAATAAGCAATCACCTGAAGTTATAAAGCTCAGTGGTAATAGGAAGTACACAGAAAAACACAGAATACTATAACACTGTAAGTGTGGTGTATAAACTACTCTTATCCTAAGTGGAAAGAATTAACAATGAACCAATCAAAAAATAAGCATGACAACTTTTCAAGACACAACCCATACAATAAGATATAAATAGAAACAATAAAAAGTTAAAAAGCAGGGGGACGAAGTTCAGGTGTAGAGTTTTTAACAGTTTTCTTTTTGCTTATTTATTTGTGAAAATAATGTTGTTATCAGGTTAAGATAATGGATTATGATAGTATTTGAAAGCCTCATGGTAACCTCACACTATTAAACACGCAATGCATATGCAAAAAAATTAAAGATAGGAAGAAAAATAATTTCACCAAAGACAATCAGGTTCACTAGAAGAAGACAGAAAAAAAAGAAGGCAGATAACACCACAAAGCAAACAGAAAACAGATAACAAAATGACAAGAGTAAGTTCTTACTTATCAGTAATAGCATTGAATGTAAATGGACAAAAATCTCCAATCAAAAGAGATACATTGACAGAATAGGTGAATAAATAAGACATATTGATCTCATGCCTACAGGAAACACACTTCACCTGTAAAGACACACACAGACTGAAAATAAAGAGATAAAAAATGATATTCCATGCCAATGGAGCCAAAAAAGTCAGGAGATGCTATCCTTATGTCAGACATAATAGATTTCAAGACAAAACTATAAGATGAGACAAAAAAAGGTAACTATATAATGATATAGTAATGATAAAGGGGTCAAGTCAGCAAGCATATATAACAACTTAAAATGTATGCTTCCTTTTTTTATTATACTTTAAGTTTGGGAATACATGTGCAGAAAATGCAGGTTTGTTACATAGGTATACACGTGACATGGTAGTTTGCTGCACCCATCAACCCATCATCTACATTAGATATTTCTCCTAATGCTGTGCCTCCCCTATCTCCCCTCTCCTGGGCAGGCTCCAGTGTATGATGTTCCCCTCCCAGTGTCCATGTCTTCTCATTGTTCAATTCCCACTTATGAGTGAGAACATGTGGTGTTTGATTGCCTGTTCCTGTGTTAGTTGGCTGAGAATGATGTTTGCCAGCTTCATCCATGTCTCTGCAAAGGACACGAACCCATCCTTTTTTAATGGCTGCATAGTATTCCATCATGTATATGTGCCACGCTATTTTTATCCAGCCTATCATTGATGGGTGTTTGGGTTGGTTCCAAGTCTTTGGTATTGTGAACAGTGCTGCAATAAACATACATGTACATATGTCTTAATAGTAGAATGATTTAAAATCCTTTGGATATATATCCAGTAATGAGATTGCTGGGTCAAATGTTATTTCTGATTCTAGATCCTTGAGGAATTGCCACACTGTCTTCCACAATGGTTGAACTAATTTACACTCCCTCCAACCATGTAAAAGCATTCATATTTCTCCACATCCTCTCCAGCATCTGTTGTTTCCTAACTTTTTAATGATCACCATTCTAACCGGCGTGAGATGGTATCTCATTGTGGTTTTGATTTGCATTTTTCTAATGACCACTGATGATGAGTGTTTTTTCATATGTTTGTTGGTCGCATAAATGACTTCTTTTGGGAAGTATCTGTACATATCCTTCTCCAACTTTTTGATGGGGTTGTTTGTTTTTTTCTTGCAAATTTGCTTAAGTTCCTTGTAGATTCTGGATATTAGCCCTTTGTCAGATGGATAGATTGAAAACATTTTCTCCCATACTGTAGGTAGCCTGTTCATTCTGAAGTTAGTTTCTTTTGCTGTGCAGAAGCTCTTTGGTTCAATTATATCCCATTCATCAATTTTGGCTTTGGTTGTCATTGCTTTTGGTGTTTTAGTCAGGAGGCCTTTGCCCATGCCTGTGTCCTGAATGGTATTGCCTAGGTTTTCTTCTAGGATATTTATGGTTTAAGTCTTACATTTAAGTCTTTAATTCATCTTGAGTTAATTTTTGTATGAAGTGTAAGGAAGGGGTCCAGTTTCGGTTTCAGCATATGGCTAGCCAGTTTTCCCAACACCATTTGCTAAATTTGGAATCCTTTCCTTATTACTAGTTTTTATCAGGTTTGTCAAAGATCAGATGGGTGTAGATGTGTGGCATTATTTCTGAGGCCTCTGTTCTGTTCCATTGGTCTATATATCTGTTTTGGTAACAGTACCATGCTGTTTTGGCTACTGTAGCTTGGATTATAGTTTGAAGTCAGGTAGCATGATACCTCCAGCTTTGTTCTTTTTTGCTTAGGATTTTCTTGGCTATACGAGCTCTTTTTTGGTTTCATATGAAATTTAAAGTAGTTCTTTCTACTTCTGTGAAGAAGGTCAATGGTAGCTTGATGTGGATAGCATTGAATCTATAAATTACTTTGGGCAGTATGGCCATTTTCACGATATTGAGTCTTCCTATCCATGAGCATGGAATATTTTTCCATTTGTTTGTGTCCTCTCTTAATTCCTTGAGCAGTGGTTTGTAGTTCTGCTTGAACAGGTCCTTCACATCCCTTGTAAGTTTTATTTCTAGGTATTTTATTCTCTTTGTAGCAATTGTGAATGGGAGTTCACTCATGATTTGATCCTCTGTTTGCCTATTATTGGCGTATATGAATGCTTCTGATTTTTGCACATTGATTTTGTATCCTGAGACTTTACTGAAATTGCTTATCAGCTAAGGAGATTTTGGGCTGAGATGATGGGGTTTTCTAAATATACAATCACGTCATCGGCAGACAGGGACAATTTGACTTCCTCTCTTCCTATTTGAATACCCTTTATTTCTTTCTCTTGCCTGATTGCTCTGGCCAGAACTTCCAATACTATGTTGAATAGGAGTGGTGAGAGAGGTCATCCTTGTCTTGTGCTGGTTTTTAAAGGGAATACTACCAGCGTTTTCCCATTCAGTGTGATATTGGCTGTGAGTTTGTCATAACTAACTCTTATTATTTTGAGATGCATTCTGTGAATACCAAGTTTATTGAGAGTTTTTAGCTTGAAGGGGTGTTGATTTTTATTGAAGGCCTTTTCTGCATCTATTGAGATAATCTTGTGGTTTTTGCCATTGGTTCTGTTTATGTGATGGATTATGTTTATTGATTTGCATATGTTGAACCAGACTTCCATCCTAGGGTTGAAGCTGACTTGATCATGGTGGATAAGCTTTTTGATGTGCTGCTGAATTTGGTTTGTAAGTATTTTATTGAGAATTTTCTCATTGATGTTCATCATGGATATTGGCTTGAAACTCTTTTTTGTTGTTGTTGTGCCTGCCAGGTTTTGTTATAAGGATGATGCTGGCATCATAAAATGAGTAAACATTTATATTGTTTGGAATAGTTTCAGAAAGAATGACACCAGTTCCTTTTTGTACTTCTAGCAGAATTCCACTGTGAATCCGTCTGGTCCTGGGCTTTGTATTAATTAGTAGGCTATTAATTACTGCATCAATTTCAGAACTTGTTATTGGCCCATTCAGGGATTTGGCTTCCTTCTGGTTTAGTCTTGGGAGTGTGTATGTGTCCAGGAACTTATCCATTTTTTCTAGATTATCTAGTTTATTTGCATAGAGGTATTTATAGTATTCTCTGATGGTAATTTGTATTTCTGTGGGATCTGTGGTGATATCCCCTTTATCATTTTTTATCTATTTGATTCTTCTCTCTTTTCTTTTTTATTAGTCTGGCTAGCAGTGTACCTATTTTGTTAATCTTTTCAAAAAACCAGCTCCTGGATTCATGAATTTTTTGAAGTGTTTTTTTGTTTTCCTATCTCCTTTAGTTCTGCTCTGATCTTAGTTATTTCTTGTCTTCTGCTAGCTTTTTAATTTGTTTACTCTTGCTTCTCTAGTTCTTTTAATTGTGATGTTAGGGTGTCAATTTTACATCTTTCCCACTTTCTCCTGTGGACACTTAGTGCTATAAATTTATCTCTAAACTCTGCTTTAGCTTTGTCCCAGAGATTCTGGTATGTTGTATCTTTGTTCTCATTGGTTTCAAATAACTTATTTATTTCTGCCTTAATTTCGTTATTTACCCTGTAGTCATCCAAGAGCAGGTTATTCAGTTTTCATGTAGTTGTGTAGTTCTGAGTGAGTTTCTTAATCCTGAGTTCTAATTTTATTGCACTGTGGTCTGAGAGACTGTTATAATTTCCATTCTTTTGCATTTGCTGAGGATTGGTTTACTTCCAACTATGTGTTTAATTTGGTGATTTGGGGCTGAGAAAAATGTATATTCTGTTGACTTGGGGTGGAGAGTTCTGTAGATGTCTTGGGTCTGCTTGGTCCAGAGCTGAGTTCAAGTCCTGAATATCCTTGTTAATTTTTTGTCTCATTGATCTGTCAAATACTGACAGTGAAGTGTTAAATTCTCCCACTATTATTGTGTGGGAGTCTAAGTCTCTTTGTAGGTCTCTCAGAACTGAATCTGGGTGCTCCTGTATTGGGTGCATATACATTTTGGATAGTTAGCTCTTCTTGTTGCATTGATCCTTTTACCATTATGTAATGCTCTTCTTTGTTATTTTGATCTTTGTTGGTTTAAAGTCTATTTTATTAGAGACTAGGATTGCAACCCCTGCTTTCTTTTTTTTTTTTTTGCTTTCCATTTGTTTTGTAAAACTTCCTCCATCCCTTTATTTTGAACCTATATGTGTCTTTGCACATGTGATGAGTCTCTTGAATACAGCACACCAATGGGTCTTGACTCTTTATCCAATTTGCCAGTCTGTGTCTTTTAATTGGGGCATTTAGCCCATTTACATTTAATGTCTGCACCATAGACCAAATTGATCTAACAGATATTTACAGAACATTTCATCCAAGAGCTGCAGATTACACATTCTTTTCCTCAGCACATGGATATTCTCTAGAATAGACAATATGTTAAGACATAAACCAAGTCTTAAAACAATTTAAAAAACTAAAATAATATCAAGCATCTTCTGTTACCACAATGGAGTAAAACTGGAAATTAATAACAAGAGGAGTTTTGGAAACTATACAAATACATGTAAATTAAACAATATGTTCCTGAATGACCACTGGGTTCATGAAAAAATTAAGAAGAAAATTTTTTAAAAAATTTTAAACAAGTGATAATAGAAACAAATCATAACTACACCTAAGGGATACAGTGAAAGCAGTAAACAGAGGGAAGGCGATAGCTATAAGTGCCTACATGAAAAAAGAGAAAAATTTTGTAAATAAACAGTCTAATGATGCATCTTACATAGAACTAGAAAAACAAGAGCAAACCAAAATTAGTAGAAAAAAAGAAATAATAAAGATGAGAGCAAAAATAAGTAAAATTGAGATGATGAATCATAAAAAAATTAATAAAACAAAAAGTTGGTTTCTTGAATACTTAAACAAAATTGATGAACCTTTAACCAGTCTGTGAAAATAATTAAGAAAATCCAAATAAATAAAATCAGAAATAAAAAAAGATCTATTACAACTGATACCACAGAAATTCCAAGGATAATTAATGGCTACTATGAGCAAATACATGCCAATATACTGGTAAATCCAGAAAAAATGAACAAATTTCTAGATACATGCAACCTATCAAAATTGAATTAGGAAGAAATTCAAAACCTGGAAAGACCAATAACAAGTTATAAGATCAAAGCCATAATAAAAAGCTTCCTAGTAAAGGAAAGCCCGGGACCCATGGCTTTACTTCTGAATTATACCAAACATTTAAAGAAGAACTAATGTCAACCTTACTCAAACTATTCTGCAAAAAAAGGAGGGATTATTTTCAAACTTATTCTATGAGATTTCTATGAACCTGATACCAAAACCAAAAACACTTAAAAAAAAAACTACTGACCAATATCTCTGATAAATATTGATACACATATCCCCAATAAAATACAAGAAAACCAAATTCAACAATACATTAGAAAGATCACGCATCATGACCAAGTGGGTTTTATCCCTGATAAGCAAAGATGGTTTGATATATGCAAATCAATCAACATAATCCATTATATCAACAGAATGAAGGATAAAAACCTTATAATTATTTAAATTGCTGAAAAAGCATCTGATAAAATTCAACATCCCTTAATAATAAATACCCTCAAAATACTGGGTATATTAGAAACATACCTCAATGTAATATAAGCCACAATGACAGACCTACAGCTAGTATCATACTGAACTTGGAAAAACGGAAACCTTTCCTGCAAGATCTGGAACATGACAAGGATGTCCACTTTCACCACTTTTGTTTAACATAGTACTGGAATTCCTAACTAAACTAATCAGAGAAGGGGGAAAAAAAAATAAACGGCATCTAAATTGTAAAGGAAGAATTGAAATTATCCTTGTTTGCTGAAAATATGATCTTATATTTGGAAAAACTTAAAGACTCCACAAGAAAAATATTAGAACTGATAAATTTAGTCAAGTTATAGAATACAAAATCAACATACAAAAGTTAGTAGCATTTCTATATGCTGACAGTGAAAAATGTGAAGAAGAATTTAAAAAATTATATTTATAATAGCCACACATAAAATAAAATACATAGAAAATAACCAGGAAAGTGAAAGATCTCTATAATGAAAACAATAAAAGACTAATGAAAGAATTGAAGAAGACACAAAAAATGTAAAAATATTCCATGTTCATGGATCAGAAGAATAAATATTGTTGAAATGTCCATATTACCCAAAGCAATCTACAGATTCATTGCAATTCCTATCAAAATACTAATGACGTTCTTCACAGAAATAGAAACAAACAATCCTAAAAATTATATAAAATCACAAAAGACTCAGAATAGCCAAAGCTATCCTAAGCAAAAAGTACAAAAGTGGAGGAATCATATTACCCGGCTTCAAATTATAGTATAGAGCTGTAGTAACCAAAATAGCATGGTACTGGCAGAAAAACAGGCACATAGATGAATGGAATAGAATAGAGAATCCAGAAACATATCTGCACACTTACAGCTAACTCATTTTTGACAAAGATGCCAAAAATATTCACTGGAGAAAAGACATTGTCTTCAATAAATGGTGCTGGGAAAACTGGATATCCACATTCAGAAGAATGAAACTGAACCCCTATCTCTCGCCACAGTCAAAAATCAAATCAAAATGGATTAAAGACTTATATCTAAGACCGGAAACCATGAAATTAACTACCAGGAAACATTGGGGAAATTTGCCAGGACATTGGTAAGGGCGAAGATTTCTTGAGCAATAACCCATAAGCTCAGGCAACCAAAGCAAACATGGACAAATGGGATTACATCAAGTTAGAAAGCTTCTGCACAGCAAAGAATACAATCAACAAAGTGAAGAGACAATCCAGAGAGTGGAAGAAAATATTTGCAAACTATCCCTCTGAGAAGGGATTAATAATTGTATAAGGAGTTCAAACAACTTTAGGATAAAATCTAATAATTCAATTTAAATAATGGCCAAAAGATTTGAATAGACATTTCTCAAAAGACATATGAATGGCAAACAAGCATATGAAAAAGTGCTCAAAATCATTGATCACCAGATAAATGCAAATCAAAACTACAATGAGATGTAATCTCACCCCAATTAAGATAGTTTGGATCCAAAAGAAAAGCAACAAGTGCTAGTGAGGATGTGGAGAAAAAGGAAGCCTCATATAATATTGGAAGGAACGTAAATTAGTACAACCATTATGGAGAACAGTTTGGAAGTTCCTCAAAAAGCTACAAATTTAGCTACCATAAGATGTGGCAGTGTCACTGCTGAGTATTAACCCCCCAAAAAGGGAAATCAGTGCATCAAAGAGATATGTGCACTCCTATGCTTGTTGAAATACTGTTTACAATAGCTAAGATTTGGAAGAAACCTATGTGTATATCAACAGATAAATGGATTTTTTAAAATGTCGTACATATACACAATGGAGTACTTTTCAGCCATAAAAAAATGAGATTCTGTCCTTTGCAACAATATGGATGGAACTGGAGATCATTATGTTAAATGAAATAAGTCAGGCACAGAAAGACAAACATTGAATGTTCTCTCTTATTTGTGGGATCTAAAAACCAAAACAATTGAACTCAAAAAAGCTGTGCTTTTTGGAAGGCAGCTTAGACATTGGCATTAGACCAAGTTGACTTAGAATTTGTACTCTAATTCACTACGTGTGTGCAATCCTCAAATACCCACTTGATTTCTCCAGGTCAAATATTCTCATCCATAAGCTAGAAAAATTATACTAATATCCATAGTTATTTTAACCTTATAATAATAGACTTTCAAAAAATGTTAATTTCTCCCCTTCCTTCCCTAATCTTCCAGAGCTGTAGTTTTGAAAGCTGAGAAATGGCCTTCGTCTGCTAGGAAAGGTATGTTTAAGTGTACTAGATAAGTGGGAAGGGTTCTAGATAGGTTTCATGGGATATGTGGTAGAGGAGGCAAAAAAAAAAAAAAAAGATGAATAAAGTAATTGTCTAGATTTTGTGAGAGTTCAGCTGAGCTTGAAAAAGTGTGAATTCAGAGAGACAGTAGCTTACTAACCACAACCCCAGATACTGTCTTCTTAATGGCATCTTTATGACTCTAGATAGGTATCTCGTTCCCTGAAGAGGTAATAATGTATAAAAACCAGGAGTGGCCAAGACCCTGGAATAAGCCTGCCTGCTCAAAGAGTACATAACCAACAATATATTGCTTTGTGTGAGCTGTTACAGATAAGCCCTCCAATAATCCTTAGGGATTCATGTTTTATTTCAGATCATGAGTTTTAAATCATGCACAATTTCTCAAAAGACAATTGTGCTATCTCCTTGACCAGTGAGTCACTTACACACTTTTAGCTGGTTGACAGCATTTTGTGACTGAAATGTAAGAAATTAATGCTATTTAGAAAGATAAGATAACTTTTATTTTCCCTCTTTAATACTTATGAAGCTTAGCTTGCCAGGGGAAAACATATTATTTAGGCATCTGTAATTGAATGGAAGATGAAGTTTCTCCATGTTTAATGAGAAGATGCAGTGCAGCCCATGAAGACAGGGTTTATGCTCTGGGCTGCTTATGCCCTAAATTGTTACATTAATAATAACCAAGGTTTGGAAATCTCCTCAGGCAAGCATATGTTGTATGTAACTCACAGAATAGAAGAACATAATAACTCATGTAGTCTCCAAACTTGCCTTTAGAAGTTAGAGGAATACATGTGCACATGTACCCTAAAACTTAAAGTATAATTTAAAAAAATAAAAAAATAAATAAATAAATAAATAGAAGTTAGAGGAATAACGGGGGCAAGGAAGTTGTTTTTGGCAGGTGAGAGAAAGGCTTTTCTGCCACTGGGAAAATGTTGCTTCTCTTTAGAGAAAAAAAAAAAATGTTGCCTTATTTACAATTGTGTAACATTGAAACAGAATTAAATTTGTACTATACATTTTCTGCCCTAAGGACTTGTTTTTTTAAAGGTAAGCATTGAAACGCATGGCATTAGAAATAAGCAAAATAAACTTTTTAATATTGATTTTATTTAATATGCTGTATTTAAATATTCATGACTTGAAAACAAATGCAAATATATACAAAATAAAAAACTATAAATTGCTGGCAGGCTGACATTGGACTAATAATAGCAATATCCTACCCATTTAGTTTATTTGATCATTTGATCCTCAAAATAACTTTATAAGGTGAATAGGATTCTGTGTGTTAAATTTGAAAAGATTCAGGATTAGTAAGGCAAATTAACTTTCCCACATCAAAAATCAGCAGAGACTAAGGAAGAATTCAAATTCACACTCTTAACATAAATATATTGTGTATATGTATATATGTATATATACATAGCAGATATAGATGCAATATTTATTGCAAATACATTGAAACAAATATACATTATTGTATGATATACTATTGATTTTTATTCCCTAAATTTCATATCCTCCACCTTAATTACACTCTTTCAAGTGGCGAAATAAAGCAGACATACTATCAATAGGAACATCTTGCATTTGTGGCCAAGTAGATATGAAAGCTATTTTAAAGAACAGAATTAAAAATACTTGGTATGTACATTTTTAATGCTTGGATTTGTTCCAGTCAATTTGAAGAATGGCTAAAGGTAAGCTTGTATTAACTAAAAATAATTTTACTTTTAAGGAATTCAATTTAGCTCTATGTTTGTTTCTTCTAAACAAAAGCTGATCTCTATTTACCATCAAATAGACTAGTAGATTAGCTAGATTATGAAATTTATATATGAGAAAATCAGTCATTTCTTACCCTGTATTGTTCTGATTTTATTATTTTTTCCACAAGTGTATATATGTATATGTGTATATTATATATGTGTATGTATTTATACTATATATGTATGCATATGTATATCCTGTAAAATACAAAGCCCACAAAGGAAGCTTCAAATGAGAGATCACTTAGAGCTACAGAGTACTGTGCTGATGATGTATCTTGCAAAAATAAAATACAGAGTCTGTTCCCATATTTTTAGGTCAATAAATCCACTAGTGACAATGGATCAGAGATTGTTACTATAGAGGACTAACTCATACTAACTAAAAGTACAGGAATTCAATACACTATCAAGCACATTATTTTTTTATGGTGACATGCAAATTTAACTGAAGAATGGGATGCTTTTGCCAACTTTCCAGTGATTCGTATCTCTTGAAAGGTTACAAGGAGATATAAAATTAGCAGTAATTTAATTAAATATTTATTGATCATTTTATCAATACCAAATATTTTTATGTGGCTTGAAAAGTTTAAAACTTGAACAAATTAATGAGATTAATTCAGTAGAGGATAATTTATTTAATGAATATTTTTTGCAATACTAAATAATAACAACTTAGGTTTTTTATATCAGTCACCTAACTTCAAAATATTGAATTATTTGGCTTTCTTTCATTTTGCTTTAAATTCTCATAATGCATTCCTAGGCATGAAGTTCGTACAATAATTCCAGATTTTATCTGGGAGATACCTCCATCGTGATCACATTAGCTTCCATCTTTTAACTTGTTATTTAAGTGGTCAGTTTTTTTTTTTTCTGAATGTGTTTGATTTAATCTGTTAGGAAGGTTTGGGTATTTTTTTTCTCCCAAATCTTAAGAGAATATCACTTTTCATTTTATCACAAAATTCTGGGTTAACCTTTGTGAAACGATTATGCTTTGATTGAGTATGTTCTCTGTATGTGAATGTTTGTGCCTCTTTCTATTTCCGTAGTTTAAATAATTCAAATATATACCCAAAATGAATCAAACAAGTTATTCAAGATTTGAATTCATAACAATTTTTGAAGATGACCTACATTACATATTGGTAGGTAGTATGTAGTTTAGGCCTCATGATCTTTGAGAAAATCTATTTCCAGATTTATGTCTAAAAATTTAATTATTACACATTTTTTTCATAAAGAAGAATTCTAAAGTCTCCATGTAGCTGTTCATTTGGCGTTTTATTTTATATTTAATCACCATTTTCTTTAATAGGGCTGTACATTTTATGATTACATACTCTGATAATTGATGCCATTTTATCTTGCCTTAATACACAGTAATTTGTTATTTATGGATATATGAAACACATTATTTTGCTGAATAAATCTTCAAGCATGAGCTTCAATTATACGAATTACAAGACAATTGGAATTGCATAGATATAACTGCACTCTACAGAGTAACACTGAGCCTTTGCCCTTCCTAGCTGGACATAGGATTCTTGGGATGTAGCAAAATTCACGGAAAACATAGGAACTACAAGTCAGATAATAAATGTTTCAAAGTAAATTAACTTTAAATATGTTAGGATGATGAAGAACATAAGAAGAATAATGAGAATCGGTAATAGCAGCAGGTTTGGGACTGGTAGGAATTGGTAGAGTCGAGTTAAAAGCTGACAAGCACACAAGCTTGTCATGTTGAAGGAACTGAAAGAAAAGCAGTCTTGCTAGTAAACAAGTTGTGTTGATTCTTTAGGTGATGTAACAAATTACCACAAACTTAGTGAATTTAAAAAAAATACAGTTATTGTTTAATAGTTTCTGTGAGTCAGAAGTCCTGGAAGAGCTTATCTGGGTCCTCTGTGAGACTGCAGTAAAGTTTTTGACCAGGACTGAGTTATCTCCTGTCGACTGAATTGGGGAAGGGTCCACTTTTAAGCTCACTCAGGTTTTTTGCAGGATTTATTTTCTTGGAAATGTAAGATTCACTGAAGCTTGCTTCTTTAAAGTCATCTAGAATAAAAATACTTTAAGTGAGAAAACAAGATGAAGCTTTAATTAGCATAACAGAATCGAAAGGTTCATATTCCATCATCTTTGTCATATTCTATTGGTGAGAAGGAAGTCACCAATCCTGTCAACACTGTAAGAAAAGGGACTATACAAGGGTGGGAGGTGAAAAATATTGGAGCCACCCAAACGGGGGTGCAAAATATGCAATATTTATGAACAAATGGTTAAAGGATAGATAATATTGACCCAGGTTAACAACAATAAAATATTTTATTGATTTTAAGAAGACTTTGCAAGGCTTTTGGCAGGAGATTGGCATGACCCAATGTGCCTTTTAAAAAGTAGATTTTGGATATATCAAACTGGTCATTAGACAGCTTACTTTACCTCCTCCCCCTTATGATGAGAAAAAAAAATTCTAATTTAATTATAGAAATACAAAAAGAATTATGAAGTAATCTCAGGAGTTATGAAAGATTAATATGTTAGGCTATATGCATGCACTCTTCTATTTAGTTCCTACAATAGACCTGGAAATTAAATACTATGACATCCTATTAAATGTAAGATAATTGGGGCAGAAAATAGTATTGTTTTGCCTGGTATCATAGGCTAGTAACAAGCTATGCCTACATTTGAATATAGAGTTATATTTTACCCTCTTTAACCATGCCTTTCCCAAGGAATCAAGCTTTAATACCAATTAGCTTTCTACAAATTTTCAATTTAATAGTAGTACTTTCCCAAAGCGGAGAAATAGAGAAAAAATTTTTTTTGAGAAATCCTGGACGATCTTGAGTGCATAACTGTATATCTGAATCCAGGCTTTCTTAAAAATGTATTTGGAATTTTAAAAGTCAATTATTTATAAACCTCTATGATTCTAAACTCCTATGATTCAACTATTTATAAACTCCTATTCTAGTCACAGAATCTTGCTAACTAAAGGTATTCAATAGATTTTAAATGATAGCAACTTATTGAAATTCTACTTTTAATAATATTGGCAATATTCAGGTACTTGTTAGGTCACCTATCATTATGTACTGTATTGTTGAATCATAAAATATGTATGAAAATATTATTTTATTCCCATTTTTAAACAATAAATTTAATATAGAATCAAAAAATCTTTAAAAAATTGAAATTTAGAAGTCTTAATGGCATCCTTTACAGATATTGTCATTATAATACTTAAATAATATTTAAATAATATCTAAATAATATTTTTTAAACTCATGAGAAAATGTATATATATTTGGACTCATTTGTTCATTAACAAAAAAATTTATATATGTGTATATGATTGACATATTTATTTTCCAAGAGACTGATGAGGGTAGTTATTTTCTACACATATAAGCAAATGGTCAGTAGTACAATCAGTATAATGAAAATGATGATAACTAATATTTATTTAGATTTTATTATATACAAATATTGAAATAATAAATGTTTAATGTATGGATTATTTAAATAATTTCATAATCATAGTTACTTGCTACTATATTGATTATGAGGATTTAATAATATCAATCAGCCTAGGATGTGTATCTAGTAAGAAGTTGAGTTAAAACGTAATTACTGGGTTTCTTAAGCATTATCTGTGCACCATACTGAGTATTCAAGATATATCAATAGTAGTAGAGACAGATGGTTGTTTCCATACCGTTTCTCTTAATTTAGGGATCATTATATTTGAGAAAAGTATACCTAGAAGCTCTGAGCAGTCTACACAAAAGAGATCAAAGATAGCCTGTTGCATATTTTGGTACTACCTCTTCCCACAGTTGCCCATAACATTCATCACTGATCCATCAAAATTAGTCAAACTGAGCCACAATAGAGTCTTAAATTTGTTTTGAATAGAGTGGAAATTCAATTACTACACAAGACCAAAGTTAGAAAATGCAAGAGAATACATTGGTCATTCTTGAACTAAACTGTAACTATTCATACTTTTTCTCCATCAGCACAAAACCATTGAAAACAGGAACTGATAAAACTTAAGGAAACATCCTAGAATTTCTCTGTGGGAATAATGGAATTCAGTTGGGGATGAGGGGCCAGTGCTCTCTCCAAGTCTCTTATTCTAATTTTCTTTCACAAATGTGAAAGAATTAGATATTGAAGATCACCTGATGAAAGGCAGTCTTATTTGTTTTTAGCTATGGTTTCAGAACAAAACAGCTTAAACACTTTTGAAAATGTATATAAAACTGTCTCTAAGCAAATTAATCCATATTTGTGCCCTTGGGGAAAGCAACATTTCAAATGTCCAGTTCATAATTAAGCTATTTATAACTACTTTATATACCTATGTATTATTAAACATAATGCACAGGGACTTAGTTTTGTATGTGTATATATTTTCACTTTTTTCACACTCTAAAATATTTTTAATGTGAAAACTACAGGCAATTTTCAAACGTTAACAAAAATTTACATCTCATAACTTGAATAACTCCCTTCATTTTTATTTTTAGAAGGTGAATGTCATATCTTGAAATTTTGAAAAAATAATTGCCAAATAATACTTTAAGTTAATGTAATTTAATTGTTTTTGATTTAACAAATATTTATTGAACTTTTACTGTATCCAAAATTTGACACTAGACATCTTAAAATGGTAGAATTTAATTTAAATCATTAAAATGTTATTCAATTCTTCTACCTTTTCTGTAAACCCAGCAATTGAATGCTGTTGTTTTCTTCTGACCTCAATTAAGCAAAATGTCAGAAAGTCATAGGATTTCTGTCTAGTCTAAGTTGTACCAGTCTGAAAAGCAGATAAATATAAATATAGATGAAAGCTCTGAAAATGTTTTCCTTCTATCCAACACAAGTGATGCTAAATAGCAATAAGTTTTAATCAACAGAACAGATTGTATTTATTTGGACTGCAATTTGATATTTGAAGGAAAAGTCTCAATTTCCAATATTTTATTTCATTTTTACCTTTGAGCTCATGATCTCTTTCTGGTCAAAAAACTTGCTACGAAAGGATTCCATTGCTTAGTGCCATGTGCCCTCATGTGCTTAGTTTATGAAATGCATGGCTTGAAGTCATCCAATCAAATGCATGGCATGAGGTCACATTCTAATACAAAACATTAAAAGTTGTAATCTAATTATATTTCCTGATATGGTGTGTAGATATATAGATATATCCAGAGATATATCTATATGTATGTGTGTATGTGTCTGTGTCTGTGTGTATAACATACACATATATGTGTGTATATAGGTATACAACTACATATGGAAATGTAAAAATGGAAAGGACAAAATCACCATAGTTATTCATTTTTTAAGCATAATTTAAACGTAAGAGGGATAATGAAATTTACCAATCAATAATAAACTCTTCTGAAGAAGTTTCTATTTCTTGAGGGAATAAAAGAAATATTCTTTGTTTGTTTTTTACTTACAGCCTATTGACCAAATTAGACTGACTTTAGAGTGATTTTTGTGTCTTATTATCAATCTCCTTGATTGGTTGAGATAATGTTGAAAAAGATTGAATCAGTAAAATCAAGGTGTTCTCAGAAAGGTTTTCCATAAGCCATCTGCACTGTGGTTGATATATTAATTACATAATATCTCCATAGAAATAGAAATGAATGGTGGAATAACCTATCTCCATCAAGCTGGGAGTTCTCAATTATTAATATTTTTAATATTATTTATAACTTTTAATTATGCTTTATGTTTTCTGAACCACTAAAAATGTTGCCTTGAATGCGTATGTGTATACATATGTACAAAGCTATATTTCATACATATACTAAATATATAAAATATTGTTTTATATATGTATATGTACATTTTGTATATATACAACATATATGTGTATAAAATATAGTTCTATATAAATATATGTATATATGTAGTATATATGAAATAAGAATCTCTTCAGAAGTTTATTAGCAATTTGTGAGCTTCATTGTCTGTCTCACACATATATATTTATGTATATGTATATGTGCATACTTATACATATGGTATATATAGATATATCTATATACTATATGTGTGACATATATACATATATACACACACACACACATAAAATGTAGTTTGAATGTGTGTGTGTAGAGATGGAGTCTCATTATATTACCCAGGATGGACTCAAATACCTGGCCTCAAGTGCCTCAAACTCCTGGGCTCAAGTGATCCTCCTGCCTCAGTCTCCCAAATAGGTGGGATTACAGGCATATGTCATCACATTCAGCTTGAAGTTATACTTAAAATTTGAATAACTATAGTAAATATGCCCCTTGCATTTTTATATTTATTTAGAGCAAGAAAAAATCTCTGTGCCACCCTGTGCATTTAAGCTAGTTTGCAAATGATAACTCTATTATTAGCTTGCATTGGTGTACTGAATGTACATAACAGCTATCTTTCTGAAAAGATTGGTTTACACAGATCTAAATGATGATGATGACAATAATAATGATGGTGGTGGTGGTAATAAAGAGTTTAATTACATTATTTCAGGTGTAGTATATGCCAGTCACTTTATCAACCATTTCCCATGCTTTTCTCATTGAAAATGAGATAGGTATTATTATTACTTCATTTTCCAGTTGAAAAATAAAATTCAGAGGGGTTAAGTTACATACGGCTCATGAGATAAAATCCTACTGAGAGCAGGATTCCAAGTCTGTTCAGCTCTAGAAGTTTAAAATAACGACTATTTTAAACAAGCTTTTTATCACTAGCTGTTATCATATCTTGTGAAAGAGAAAATGATCATTATCAGAGAATTCTTTTTTATGACAAAAATCTTTTGGGGATGGAAATAACCACAACCTAATTGCATGTGTGCAGGCTGGACCTTATATGTAAGGATAATATTTTTCAATTCAAATTTCATAAAGTAATAGAGATACTATGTTGTTTTTAAGAATATATACATATATACATATCTTACTTTTACTACTTTTTAAGTGTGTCATTGTGCCTCAGTTAGCTACTCTGATTCTCAATAATCTGAAAATTACAGATGTTCATAAAACCTGGTTTATACAATGTCTTAATTATTAAGTAGAAAGTGCTTAGCATAGTACTAGGCAAAGCTTAAGTGTTCAAATATGAGTTATTTTGTTATTTGTTTTTTGTATTTTTCCAATCCGTAGACCTTAGCTGGACATTTATTTGTAGTCAGCTAGCTGATTTGTTTTTTCTTTCTACATCTCAAGACTTTGCTGACACAAATCAATAGCCAGAGGCTAGCATTAGAATAATGAAGTAAAGAAACAAATCAATATTACTTTATATCAAACAGTAAAAAAGACGCAATTGTCTGCTATCAATGGCATATGCAAGAAGAGAATTGTGTAAGAGAAACACTGATACCTGGATCAGTTGGGTTTTCTATTCCATAAATTCTTAATTATAACATTCCATGACTTGAAAAAATGATTGAGAATAGTTATTAGCTATTCCTATTATTTAGTAAATGCAGGTAACCAGCCATCCCTATTAAAAAACAACAACAACAACAATGTAAAACAAAGAAAAACTGAATCAAAGATTAATTGTATGAAATATTCTTAATTAAAATTGATTATACTTACCAAGTCATCTATTATTTTATCAGCTAAACTGCAGTTTTCAATTAAAATGGGAGACTTGATTTATTTTAATGAACAACATGGCAAGTCCCTCACCCCTGAAATTTAAGTGACTTACCTATATCTCAGATTGGCAAAAATAATTATATTTCCCTATGACAGTAATGAGCCACGTTCTAATACAACCACCTTACATTTCTCTACAGCATGAATTTTTCCTAACATTCTACATTTTTTCAACCCTGATCTCTATCCAAATTTTGTCAAGAAATATGAACCAGGGGGCCAGAAAAAAACTCTTTGTGGGTTAACTACTTCACGAATAATTTCATTATTGTATATTTTCTAATTGACAAATGGAATGTGTCACAACAGTTCAAGAGAAATGATGGGAAATATTTTCATTATTTTAGTATTATAATAAGATAGGCAAGGCCCTGAGGCATTCATAATTTTTTGATTAAATGACTTGAATGTCTCTTGTACAACTATGTACTATTTGTTATTTGTTATATTTATTATACTAGTCATGTGTGGACAAACATCCTTCCTTCTTGCTTTTCATCTTGCTTTCTAAAATTACACTGAGTAAATTTAGATTATCACGTGTGAATTTCTTGAATTTAACATCCCTAAGTCTAAAAATTGTCTGTGTGTATACATAACTTACTGGATTCTCAGAGAAATGTTGTCGTTTTTCCTTTTTGTCATCCTTTCATATGTACCTTCAACTTTGTTTAATCTCCTGAGAGTATGTTGCATGTTTTACCTTTGGACTTGGTGTAACTTTAATCTGTTCGTCTTTTTCCTCTTTAATGGTCTCATATCTTCCTGACTAATCCTCTTTTGTAATCCTCCTTTCCATAGGAATTTTCTCAGAGATCCATCCTTCCCCTGATTCATGTTGAATCACGTAACTCTCACAAATACTATGGCTTCATAAATACTATGGTGTTCTCTGCTGGCTACTGTATTGGCCTCCAAATACATTTTATACTACAATATTCTTCTGCATTACAAATATACTGTAAAACTTCCTACAAGTCATCTCTTCCTGCATGTTCCATATAACCTCTAACTCTAGCTCAGTATATTTAATAAACTCTCTTTCCTCTCTAAACTATGCTCCTCCATTTTCCCCTATACATCATTTACACAATTTCAAGAGAATCTTAGAAGTAAAATCAAATCTTATCCTTGAAATTAGCTTCTCTCCTAATGTGTATACTGCTTCAGTATTTTAAACTTTATTTAATTATAGTTGATATACACTAAATATTGCATCTTTAATGAATATAATTTGATAAATTTGATATGTATACACTTCTGAAATCATTACCACATTCAAGATAATCACTGAAAAGTTTTCTCATGGCTTTTTATAAACTCCCTCCTGCTGCTCCTCACAACCCTAATGCTTTGTCCCTGTGTCCAAATGCCACTGATCTATTCTCGATATATATATATATTGAATATATAGATCAGTGCTATTTGGTCACAGAAGCACAGCATTAAAAATATTTAGTGTATAAGAATACTTTACATTACATTGCATCTGATAGGTGATTTTTTTTATCCCTTGCCTTCCTCCCACACTGCACACTTCTGAGTCTCCAGTGTTCATTATACCACTCTGCATGCCTATGTGTACCCAAAGCTTAGCTCTCGCTTATAAGTGAGAACATGTGGTATTTGGTTTTTCATTTCTGAGTTACTTCACTTAGGACAACGGCTTCCAGTTCCATCCAAGTTGCTGCAAAAGACATTATTTCATTTTTTTATGGTGTAGTAGTATTCTGGGGTGTGTATATACTACATTTTCTTTATCCACTTATCTGTTGATAGAAAATTTGATTCCATGTCTTTGCAATTGTGAATTGTGCTGTGATAAACAAATGAGTAAAAGTGTCTGTTTGACATAATTACTTCTTTTCCTTTGGGTAGATACCCAATAATCGAATAGCTCAATCGAACGTTGATCTACTCTTTGTTACTTGAGAAATTTCCATACTATTTTCCGTAGATGTTGTGCTCATTTACATTTCCACCAGCATGTATAAGTGTTTCATTTTCACCACATTCGCACCAATAACCAATATCTACTGTTTCCTGACTTTTTAAAACTGGCCATTCTGACTGGGGTCAGGTGGTATGTCATTGTGGTTTTATCTTTAGTTTTAGTTTTCAGTTTAGTGGTTTTTTATTTGTTTGTTTTTGTTGTTTGTTTGTTTGGAGTTTTTTTTTTTAGACAAAGTCTTCTCTGTTGCACAGGCTGGAGTTAAGTGGCAAAAACATGGCTTCAAACTCCTGGGTTCAAGTGATACTCCCGCTTTAGCCTCCTGAATAGCTGGGATTTCCGGCACATGCCACTACACCCACTGATTTTTTTATTGTTTATTTTTTTGTAGAGACAAGGTCTTTCTGTGTTTCCCAGGCTGGTCTCAAACTTCTGACTTCAAGTGGTTCTCCCACTATGGCCTTCCAAAGTACTGAGATTACAGTCATGAGCCACCACACCTAGCCTTCATTGTGACTTTGATTTGCGTTTTCCTGATTAGTAATGTTGAGCATTTTTTTATGTTTGTGGGCCATTTATTTATCTCCCTTTGAGAAATGTCTATTCATGTCGTTTGCTCACTTTTTAATGGGGTTATGTGTTTTTCATTCTTGCTGATATGCTTGAGTTCCATGTAGATTTCGTATATTATTCCTTGGTCAGATATGTAGTTAGTGAGGATTTTCTTCCGTTCTGTAGGTTGTGTATTTACTCTGTTGATTAGTTCTGTTTTCTGTGCAGAAGCCTTGTTTTTTAACAATTATCCATCCCCATTTTATTTTTCTTGTTGAACTCTTATTTATGCTTCAAGACCCAGATCTAATAGTTCTCTCTTTCTGAAACTTTTCCAGGCTCATCGAAGCAGAGGTTTTTACGCTTTCTTTGTGTAGTCACTCAACTCTTATTGCATGCATCTCAGAGGAGTGTATTTTTATGTTTGTCACTGTATAGACACAAGTCATGTCTATTTTATTTTTGTATGCCTTAGAAACTTATATTGTTTATACAGAATAGCAATAATCACAATTGCTTTTTTAAATCAGATATCCCAGCTCTTCACCTTTCAGTCCTGTGATAAGACTACACTTCCCTACCCTCTTTGGGCTTTTTGGGTTGTGTGGGGCCATGTTACTAGTAATGATCAATGACTTGTGAACAAAAAAATCCTACATCACTTCTTTGACAGACCTTTTCTGAAAAGAGACTCTTCAGAACACTATTATCTTTCCACAGCAACTAGCAATGCTCTAGGTGGCAGTTTATCTTGTAGCCTAGATTCAGGAAAACATGAGTTAGAGACTACAACTCAGTTGAGATGAATACATAGCATGAATTAAAAATAACTTTTTTGTTAATAAATTTCCTTTTTAATTTTTTTGATAATTGACAAATTATGGTTGTATAGATTTATTGAGTAAAAACTTACATTATGATTTATGAATATAATGTGGAATAATTAAGCTAATTATATATCATCTCAAATGCTTATTATTTTTATGGTGAGAACATTTGAAATTTACTCTTCGTGATTTTTAAATGTACAAAATGCTATTATTAACTGTATTCACCACATTGTGGAAATAAATCACAAAAAAACACCTGTTACCTCTTCTAACAAAAACTTTGTACCCCTTGGCCATCATCTTCCTATTCCCCTCACTCCCTAGCCTCTCGTAATCATCACCCTACTCTCTGCTTCTATAAATTTGATTATTTTTAATTCCACATATGTGAGAATTTTTCCTGTTGTGCCAAACTTAATTCACTAAGATTAACATCCTCCAATTCCATTCAAGTTGTTGCAATTGACAGAATTAATTTTTATAAAATATATTGACATAAAATACTTTTTACAGAATAAATTGACATAAAAATTACAGAATTAATTTTTTATTTATTTTTATAAAGGCTAAATAGTATTCCATTGTGTATATGTACCACTTTATCCATTCATCTGTTGATAAACTGTTAGGTGGATTCTGATTCCATAATTTGCCTTTTATGAATAGTGCTGCAATGAACATAGGAATGCAGACATCTTTTTGACATACTGATTTCAATTTTGTGGTGGTAAGTATCCAGAAGTGGGATAGCAGGATAATATAGTCATTTTATTTGTAATTTTTTGAGGAACTTCCATACAGTTTTCATAATGGCTTACTAGCATTTGTTAGCTTTCATTTTTTTTGATAATAGCCCTTCTGGGAGATTTCCAGTGACGTCTCATTGTAGTTTTAGTTTGTATTTCCTTAATGATTAGTGATGTTGAGCATTATTTCATATGTATGTTGACTATATGTATGTCTTCTTTTGAGAAATGTTTATTCAGGTCTCTTGCCTGTTTTCTTTTATTATTATTATTATTATTATACTTTAAGTTTTAGGGTACATGAGCGCAACGTGAAAGTTTGTTACATGTGTATACATGTGCCATGTTGGTGTGCTGCACCCATTAACTCGTCATTTAGCATTAGGTATATCACCTAATGCTATCCCTCCCCCCTCCCCCCACCCCACAACAGTCCCCGGTGTGTGATGTTCCCCTTCCTGTGTCCATGTGTTCTCATTGTTCAATTCCCACCTATGAGTGAGAACATGCGGTGTTTTATTATTTGTTTTCTTTATATAGGCTCATTTGAGTTACTACCATAGTTTGGATATGTACCCCTTGTCAGATATATGGCTTGCAGATAGCTTCTGCCAGCCTAAATGTTGCCTCTTCACTCCGTTAATTGTCATCTCTGTTGTTCAAAATCTTTTTATTTTGATGAAATACCATTTGTCTATCTTTGATTTTGTTGTATGCACTTTAGGGGTCAAATCTAAAAATTAATTCCCCAGACAAATGTTTTGTAGTGTTTCCTTTATATTTTTTTCTAGTCATTTTATAATTTCATGCCTTACGTTTAAGTCCTTAATCCAATTTGACTTGATTTTTGTATTTGGTGTGAGATAAGAGTCCAATTTCATTTTTCTGAATATGAATATCCAGTTTTCCCAACACTATTTATTGAGGAAACTGTCCTTTCTGGAGGTTTATGTGATTCCATAGGAATTTTAGAATTGCCTTTTCTATTTTTATATAAAAAAAAGTCATGGGACTTTTGGTAAGAGTCGCACTGAATCTGTAGTTCACTTCGGGTAATATGGGCATTTTAACAATATTTATTCTTTCTATTCATGAACATATGATGTCTTTGCATTTATTTATATCTTCTTCAATTTCTTTCATTAATGTTTTATAGTTTTCATTGTACAAGTCTTTCACTCACCCTGGTTATATTTATCCCTAAGTGTTCCATTTTTATAATCATTATAAATGGGATTGTTCTCTTTTTTAAAAATTTAGTTGTTAGTGTATAAAAATGCTACTTGTTTTGTGTGTTGACAATATTTGGTAATTCAAAGTCAAGGCTGTAACATTACCATATTATTTGTTAGTTCTAATGGTTTTTTGGTGGGATCTTTAGAGTTTTCTATGTATAAGATCATGTTGTCAGAAAACAACAACTATTTTATGTTTTTCTTTGGTATTTTGATGCATTTTATTTCCTTCTCTTGCCTAATTGCTCTGTCAAGGGCTTGTAATACTGCGTTGAATGGGAATACTGAGAGTGGGCATACTTGTTTTGTTTCAGATTTCAGAGGAAGGCTCTCAATTTTACATCATTGAGCATAATGTTAGCTGTGGGCTTATGATCTGTAGTCTTTATTTTGTTGAGGTACACTCCTTCTATAGCTAATTTGTAGAGAATTTTTTTTCCTAAAAGTATGTAGAATATCGTCAAATGTTTTTTCTACATGTAATGAGGGGATCATATCATTTTTGTCTTTTATTCTGTTAATGTGATGTATCACATTTATTGATATGTGTATATTGAACCTTTCTTGCAGCCCAGGGGTAAATTCCATTTGGTCATAATCAGTGATTCTTTTATTTTGTTTTTTAATTTAGTTTGCTGGTATTCTGTTGAGAATTTTGCATCTATGTTCATCAAGAATATTGGCTGTAATTTTTTTTTCTTATAGCATTCTTATTTTCCTTTAGTATCAGCATGTGCTGATCTCATAAAAAGAGTTTGGAAAAAACAGTTTTTCTTTGATGTTTTTAGAAGAGTTTGTAAATAATTGGTTCTGTTTTTTTAAATGTTTGATAGAACATGAGAAGCCAAGAGGTCCTGGCCTTTTCTTTGATGAGAGACTTTTCATAACGGGTTCAATCGTACTTTTCATTGGCCTGTTCAGATTTGGTATTTCTTCATGATTCGGTCTTGTTTGTTGTATGTGTCTAGGAAGTTATCTATTTCTTCTAGGTTGTCTAATTTGTTGGCATATAATTGTACATAGTAGTCTCTTCTGATCCTTTGTATGTCGGTGCTATAACTGTAATGTCTCCTCTTTCATTTCTGATTTTAAGTCCTCTCTCTTTTTTTTTCTTACTCTAGCTAATGATTGGTGAGTTTTGTTTATTCTTTGTTTTTTAATTAAACAACTCTTAGTTTTATTGATCAAAAATAACTTAGATGTTTTGTTCCACAAAAAGGCTAGAATTATTTTTTATGAAGTATAATCAAGTTTATCCTGACTGATAATAACTTAGATTTTCAATAAACGTTAATTGTATGCACAGATAAACAGGCAAATCTTATTGACTTATGTATGTTATATTAAAATATTTGAAAAATAATTTCTTAAAATGAAAATACTTCATGGTTGCATGCTTTATAGTGTATAGGTAATATATTAACTGATGTACTATAGGACACTTGATTTTAAATGGTGGGCTCCAAACAAGAACTGTGTGACTACTATAAAATTTAAATTTATTGGGATTATATAGAAAATAACTAAGGTAAGGTAATTAATGGGATTTTATTCCAATTATTTATGTTAGAGGTATTGCAACCTGAACATTGATTAATGGCCATGGCATAAATTTGAGTATACAGGCTATTGTGCCAAAGATGGAAAATCGCATAGTTCTCTTTATCATTATATTTGTATTGTGCTTTGGTTTTTATAATAACATTTCACCATTATAAGATATCTTATTTTATTCTATAATTTAATTCAATAAAGTCATTATTTCCTTTTTTCCCTATCTGACAGTGTGGAAATTGAGGCAAGGGGAAATGAACTGATCTTGCCTAAGGTCGATCTATTTTTTTTTTTTTTTTTTTTTTGACAGAATCTTGCTCTTCCGCCTAGGCTGGTGTGCAGTGTTGCGATCTCAGCTCACTGCAACCTCCGCCTCCCGCGTTCAAGCAATTCTCTTGTCTCAGCCTCCTGAGTAGCTGGGATTACAGGCGTGAAGATTCAGGGTATAAAATAGACCTTTATGTCCAAATGCTTATTACTTTCATAAAGAAGATTTCAAAATATTTAAGGTGCAGCTTATGGAAATTAGTGTTCACACTAACCATAATGCTAAAAAATATCTATGAAGTTATTCTATTTCAACTAAGAAATTCTATCAAAATATATCATCAATAGAGATAAAAAAATGAAACTCACAGGTTGGGAAAAATATTTGCAATAAAAAAACAACAAAAGCTAAAGAGCTTTTACAAATCTATTTAATAAATGAAAAGGACATCAAAGCTAATGTTCTTTTCGTATGTTAAATAGATTTGTAAAAGCTAAAACATGGATAGAAATTTGAATGGACACTTCACAAAAAGAATACCCAAATGGCCAGTAAGTACGTAAAAAAGTGGTTTATTTACTTTAATAATCATCAGATAAATACAAATTAGAATTACAATGCATCTTCATTCTGCTACACTCTGCAGGATAGCTAAAGAGTAAATAATAATAATAATAATAATAATAATAATGTAATAGCAAATGTTAGCAAAGATCGAGAGAAACCAGAACTCTCATACCCTACTTGTAGGTGAACAATGTGGTGCAACCTGTATGCAAGGTGTTTGAATGTGTATACTAAAGTTAAACATATGCATATGCTATGACAAAAATATTTTATTCTAGTATGTACACCTTAAAGTACATATGTGTTCACAGTAGAACTATTTATAATAGCCAAAAACTAGAAATTTCTCCAGTGTATGTCAACAGTAGAATGGAAAAATAAATTACACTATATACAAACAATGAAATACTGTATAGCAATGACAACAATCTTCAAGTTTGTGCAACAATAAGGAATATCATTCACATAATATTTAGTGGAAAAATATATGTACAAGAGAACATAATATATAATTTCACTTATGTAAATTTCTAAAACAAACAAGATGAATCTATTTTGCTTAAAGTCAAAATAGTGGTTAACCTGTGGGAGGGGGTTAATAACTAGGAGAGTCATGGGAAGGTGAGATCTTATAATGTGGTGATAATAGTCTACTTTGTGATCTTGATGCCTTTTGCACAGTTATATAAAACTCTGTAAAAACTGACTGTGAATGTTAAACTCATATGTGAATGTATATATGTATCATACTTCAGTGAAAGCTTAAAAAGTTAAAATCAATAATCAAAATATATCTTATTTTCCAGAATTCTGTGTTTACTTTATATTTCCATTTTTAAGAAAATTGGTAAAGGCAGTGATCAGTGATAATCTTTACTCCACTTTGTGACTATTTTTCCGTATATAATGAAAAGGAAAACAAATAACATGTGACATTTCAATGAGCCACATTAAAAATAATATCCAACACAGTGGTACATGACACCAAAATATGACATAAACATATATTTGGCATTTGAAAATATAGAGGTTATCCTCACAGTTCTAAAAAGCAAAGGGGCAAAATCATTCATTCAGTATTTTGTTGATATTGTAATTGTTTACCAGGCAAAAGTGTGACACCAATTATAAAAAATGCATTATAATTATTACAGTTCATTTGTTCTCTCAGCAAATTATAAGAGATCTCAGAATAACAGAAACCCAGAGCTGACAAGTGCAACTTTACTGGAAAAGAAAACAAAACCCCATATTCTTCAAGATCACTTGAAAATTTATTTGTGTTTAAATAATTATTTCAGATGATGCTTGTGCTCCTAATAATCAATTAATGGGGAAAAATGTCTTTTCATTACCCATTTGAAAGCAATTGTTATTTAGTGCCTACTCTGTGCCAGCACAAAATACATATTTATCTAGCACCTAATAGTAAGCCCAGTGGCTTAATATTTGGAGACACACCAAGATAGTATAAGATAATCACATTCTCAACCAATGTCATGGTAGCAAGAAAATGATAGATGCATTTTGCTTAACATTCAGCGTATTTTCTATTACATAGATGGCAAAATATATAACAAAATATTCTCAGTACTGCTTTAGATTATTTCTTTCAGAAAAAGGCTGGGGTAGGGGAATACATTATTTCAGTTCATAGAAGGATATTGAAGTTAACTGGGACTTGAATGTTGGAAGTGAAAATGATTTAGTGTAATGAGATTTTGAATATAAATTAAAAGTAAACCAACAAGTTGTGCCAATGGACTTGGTGTGTGGAAAATCAGGGATGACACCCAGGTCTTAGATTGGAAACTTCGCAGAAGTGTTGACATTAGGTAAAATGGGAAAGATTGAATCTTAATTGTTATGGTATGAACCTGCTCAGTTTGTAATCCTCAGGAAAGGTCTACTGGAAGCTCTGTATGAGAATCCAAAGTTTAGGAAATACTATAGCACTAGAGATGGGACTGGACCTAAAGAGAAATTATTGGAAGTTTAACAAAAAAGGCCAAAAACTGAACCTTTAACTCTTCCAATATTTGGAGGTCAATCAGACAAAGAGGGCCAGCAAATAATCTAGAATGAACAGCCAGGTAGAAAAGATGAAAATAAGGAAAATAAATTTCTTTAAGAAAAAAAGATATTGACAAATATGACAGCTGATCCTGAAAAAGATTGAGTGTGATGAGAACAGATACCTGTGAGAGTCAGCCAAGACATCCCAACAGTACATGAAGGCTTGTATCTATTTAAAAGTATTTGAACAGGATTTAGTGCAATTTTCATTCCTGGAGATTACAATTGGGAAGTTAACCTAGAACAACCGAGTTGGAAAGCTGCTTAGAAATTTTGTGAAGAGGGCTGGGCACAGTGGCTCACACCTGTAATCCCAGCACTTAAGGAGGCCGAGGCAAGCAGCTCGCTTGAGCCCAGGAGTTTAAGACCAGCCTGGGCAGGGTGGGAAAACCTCATCTCTACAAAAAGTACAAAAATTAGTGGGGCATGATGGCACTTGCCTGTAGTCTCAGCTACTCAGGAGGCAAATGTGGGAGGATCGCTTGAGCCTGGGAAGAGGAGGCGGCAGTGAGCCAAGATCATGCCTCTGCACTTCAGCCTGGAGCCTGGGCAGCAACAGAGGGAGACCCTTTCTCAAAAGACAAAACAAACAAACAAACAAGAGTGGATAAGCAAACTGGCATACCCAAGAGACTGTTAAACATGTTGTTGAAGAATTTATGATGACATAGAAAATGCAAATATTTATAGTTAAAGAAACAACACAGTCATGTAAATAATGCATAGAATTGATAAACAGCTATATCTATACATACACGTATGCAGATATAGGCTTTTTTCAGGGAGAAAATATATTAAAATGTGAGTGGTTTCTCTAGGTAATGAAAGTATGCCTGAATTTATTTCTTTACATTTTCCATATTTAAAACAAATTATTTGCCATTACTTTACAACTGAAAAGAAAATCTAGTCTCAAAAAAGTTTTCAGTACGTTTAAATGTATTGCATGATGTTCAAATTTTATAAAAAAAATACTGTAACATTATCTTTCACAATTTTATTGAAAACCCCATGTTTCCTACATCATATGTAAAAGAAAAATTTTTTAGACTATGATAAAATTAAAACAACTATGATTGCAAAGAAAAAATGACTTTTGAATATCTGAATTACAAATCACTGTAGGAAATTAAAATGTACCTATTTTTACCTACACTTCCACTTCAAGAATTGTATCTAAAATAAATAAATAAATACAAAAATGAACACATAAAATAAAATATATAAGTAATTATATAAGTATGTAATGCCACCTACACAAGGATTATTGTATAAGCATTATTATAGTGGGCCATTTGGAAATAGACTGAATATCCATCAAAACAGGAGTAGCTGGATAAAATGAAATGTGACTCACCCATTAAATAAAACAGAATCTCTATATCTACAATCTCCATATACACACAAAATAGCAGTCCATACTATATTCTTGACATGAATAATAGCAAATGACAAGTAGTTTATTTTCTCAGTGAATATTACATGGTAAGAATTTCCTAGGTAATTAATAGACATACAAATATTTTTATGCCAATTAATGAAATATTTTTTAGTGTATCAATGAACTATTATTTATTTAATCATTTTCCAGCTGTTATACATTTAGAAGAAAATACATACACGAAGATTCTATGCATTTAGTCTCCTAGAGTTTCATATATAAAAATATGCACTATATAATTTTTCGATTACCAAAATTCCCACATCATTATTCACAGGAAATGTAATACATATTCATCACTGGGAGTACAGAATATTTGCAACATGATTCTTTAATAAAAGAAGGCTTCTTAATTATGAAAAAGTTTTTGTTTTAGTCTGCCATTGCAAAATACCATAGATTTTGTGGCTTATACCAGGAATTTATTTTCTAAGAGTTTCAGAGGCTGGGAGCGTGAGATTATTGTGCCATTATGGTTGCTTTCTGGTAAAGGCTCTTTTCCTGGCATGCATATGGCCACCATCTTACTATGTTCACATGACTTCTTTGTGAGGGTGCTGAGAAAGAGGGAACTAGAGAGAGCAAGCTCTCTGATCTCTTCTTATAGGATGTCAATCTCATTATTAATTCCTCACCCTCATAACCTTAGCTAAACCTAATTACCTCCCAAAGACCTCATCACCAAATACCATCACAATGGGGGTTAGGGCTTCAACATATGAATGTGGGGAAATACAATTCAGTTTATAGCAGTCCTAACATCTAAAATGGTTTCTTCAAGCAACCTACTGTCTTGGAAACCAATCCTTTATCATATATTTGCAGAATGTTTTGATATTGAGCAAATATAGGAAAGTAGAATTAATGTTTAACAAATCTATCTAAAATATTATTTATTCATTATTCTACAAATATAGCATTTAAAAAGAGATATTTGAAGTGTACAAGTTTAGGGTGAATAAATGGTCATATACCAGGTATGGGATAATTAAATAACAACTGTAATTGTTTTAAAATATGTAATTTTGACATTAAGCAAACACATGTTTTCAGTTCATGATTGTGTAGTATCAGCAATTAGAGTTTTAACTTATCAGCATAAAGAATAATGTAAATGTATATTATATTACCACAAAGGTAGAAGCCAAAATCTGAATACCGATATTTTTTCTTAATCTGAGATTACTGTAAACACATTTTTCCTAATTGAATTGTAAATGATAAAATATTTAATTCTTAATTTGTTAATAATTTTGTTATATCTAAAATATTGTTTATGTTATTTATAAATATTATGTGGAAATAAAAGCTTAAGATGAGGATAAATTTACAACGTGATTAACATTTCAAGAATTCAGGTTGTATTTTCTTATATTTTCTTGCCAATTTCTTAATCTTGTAAGGCCTTTAAATTTTAGTATATTTCAAGACATCAGTGAACAAATCTGAATGCTGAGGATACATCTAACTGTCTCAAATGCATGAATAAATTTATAAATATGAGCTTAAAATTACTAATGGAAAAAAATTGTATTGGTTTTATAGATGTATCTGAACAAATATAAAACCCTATTGGTTGTATAGGTGCATCTGAACAAATATTTTTTGATTCTTCTCATAACTGGTACTACATTTGTATAAATGTTTATTTAAAAAAATAAGCCTTAGAATAGGAGAAAAAAAAAACAGTAAATAAGATAGGAAAATCCTATTTTCATATTTTCTGCCTAAAATCAACTGGAATATATTTATTGTATATTTTGCATATTGCTATATAATTATATCTCTCTATCTCAAAACTTTCCATTCCCTAACTGACTTCCATGAAGAATGTTATAGACTTACAACATTTCATAAATTATCTTAATTTAGGGCACCATTGGTTCCCCAGTAAGCTTCAGCTGTTGAGACTTCATTCTGCATAGCTTCAATCTACATATGCTTTCCCTTGTGAGCAGTTGCTCAGGGCTCTGTCAAAAACTAAAGTCCAAGTATGTAATCGGGTGTGCTCCCAAAGATTCTAACGGTTATACTGGTCTTATCTACTGATAATTCAGAACCTTCTACTTAAAAAGAAGTATTCATTGGAAGTCCCTTTAAACCAGCTACATGTATAAAGATTTCCTGTTATCCAGGGATTGTCAGGCCCCAAGATTTCATGGAGTGGCTACAAAACAGAAGGCTATTCCTTAAACCCATCATTGTCTTAACTCAAAAGATACTGAGATGTGCCATCCTAGAAACAAAAAGAGACAACTTAGAGCTCAGAAAATAGTAAAAAAGACAACTGCAGAATCTAAAAAATAACATTTTTGCTAAAAAGGAAATATTCTATTTTTTAATAAAGATATTTTCAGAGCAAGGGAAGATCACAGAAATGCTAGAATGATGTATCCTGGCATGTGGGATTGGGAGAAATGTCACAGGACAGGAGTGAGATAAGCAACACATTAATTAGTAAGATTTTTTTAAAAAAAAATATCTATATATACTTATAAATTCAGGGGGTACATGTGCAAGTTTGTTACTGGATATTGACCTAGACAGAGAATTTATGACTAATTAGTAGGATTTTTAAAGAGGAGTTTCCACTAATAAGAATTGAAAGCCTTTTGAAATTGCATATTTTACACAGGAAATCAATATGGAAGCATGACATCTTACTGATACAGTGAAAGTCCCTGGACTTTCATGTCATCTCATCATTGTTTTCATTAAAGCGAGAGGTAACTGGTAGTCTTTGAAATACAAAATTCAGTAAGTTCAAGCTATGTGATTTTGTGAGATTTTACCTGTCTGAACCATGGTTTCCTCAACTGTAAAAGAAAATACCAATGACTTCTCTTAATTGTTTAATAATTATGAAAATGAATATAATAGGGCTTTTCTACTGTTCCATTCAGTTTTCTATGAAAGCAGAAAATTGATGAAATTCTTAAAATAAGCCTTTTAAACTAAATTTGTATTGATTTGCATTCCATACTGTACTCTCGCCTCAAGAAAGTTATAGTGCAATGTACTCTTCCGGTATTAGGGAAATATATTTTAACACCCTCTAGTGTCCCTAAAAACTCTAAATAACTTATAAAAATTGAAGATTACCTTTTAAAAGAACTCTTTTTAATATAATAACATTTATTATAGAATAATAATTTTGCCATATTGTGTCACTTGTGGAATAATGTGAGACATTTCAATTTTAACCTTTACCATTATGAAATAAATTTCTCATAATCTGCAGTGTGTAAAGGAGCAAGAACTAGCTAATATCTTAATATTTACAATGTATTTGTATGCTTCTAGCTGCAGTTTGATTTTAAAGGTTGAAAACAAATGAAAACATGTCAACAAATTAAGGAGTATGAACAGTTAGGATAGAATAAAATTTGCTTTTGCTTTACTCCATTTTTGTATCCTGAACCTTAAGAAACTCAATCCTAGTAATGCTTTCAAGCCCATGAGGATTTAAGAAAAAAACTCAAGAAAATAAATGTGCATTGAAGAGATTGGAGTGCAGGGAGACGGGATTTTTCAGGGTGACAGGATCTCTGTTCCATGTGTGTGCACAGATACCAGAAGGCACTATCTAAGACCAGAAAAAAATAGTTTCTGTCATCTCCAGATGTAGGGAATGACTGCCCAGCAGGGCTCTTCAGACTGTTGAGAAGTCTGGGTCATCCAATCTGCCTCCTCCATAAAACAGCCTCATCATTTGAGTGTTCCATGGAAACCATGATCTTTACTAATCAAAACACCCCCTTCTAGTAACAGAACTTCAGTATTTTCAATTCTAGTAGAAATGACAACTAAATACATACTAGAAGTAGCAAACAGAGGACCCTGTCTCTCATGAATTGGTAAGATGTACTTCACTCTCTAGGCTTTGTATAATTTAATGATATTAATTAAGAAAAAATCATATTGCAAGCATTTACAATTTCATTTTTCCTTTATAAAGTGTTTAATAGGTATGCAGCCTTATGGGAGTAGTTAAGCCTAAATATCAGCAGATGATAAATATTTCAAAAATGCTGCTCTTTTATAATAACAACAATCTGCCATTGCTATGAGATATTGATATTGATCAAATTATCCATTGAGAAACAATAATTTACTGAAAATTAACATGTGAATTATAAAAATTATTGTGTTTAAATAAAATCCTTTTTTAATTTTTAGAAATTACCTGTCATAGTCAAAATATTATGATAATAATCTATATTATCATAGCCATATGGATTGATTTCCCTTTATAGTTATGTAGATACTTCTCTATTTTGTCATAGCCATATGGATTGATTTCCCTTTATAGTTATGTAGATACTTCTCTATTTTATTACCAAGGCACATTATATTGAAAGAAGATAAGGAAACCATAAAAAATGCTCTTGAGACATATTTAAATTGAAAAATTATTTGTGTTTGTAATATATGTAATTTGTAATGTATGTTATTTGTAATTTGGAACATGTTATACTCCTTCCAATTTTAGGAGTAGAAAGACTGTACATTAGGATTAGATTTTATGTTCAAGAGTGTGAATTCAAACTCATAAACTAAAACTGTGTTGTGAATACATTTAGTTTCACAAAACCTTTAAGTGGCAACATCCTTAAAATCTTATGAAATATGAGATTTCATCATTGTCTCACTGATAAAATAAAGGAGAGCAGAAATTAGAGACAGATTTCAGGATCACCATGTAAGGGTCACTATTTGTTGCCAACCACCTACCTTGCCAGAACTTCTTTCAAGGGACGAAATATTCTTAGGAAGAGTAGTTATCCTGCTTGACCTCAGAATAGATGATTACTACTTTGCTAGCTCCTGCATGTTGGTCTCTACAATATTTTAATCAAACAAACATGAGATTGACCATGTGCTACTGTAGCTATAATAATTTTTCAAATGTGAAGCTTCAGAGAGCAGTCAAGGACTGGAAACAACATCAGCGGTGAATAATAGCCTCAAAATGAAGCATACGGATTAGGAAATTTCCAACACTGTTTGTAACACTATTCTCGTGCTTGCTAAGAAGAATGAAGTAACAAGTTTATGCCAATCTGCTGATTGTCAAGGAAACTTCACACATCGATTTATGTCATGGGATTTACTCCATTGGACAAGAACTGTTTTCTTGCCTTTTCCAGCTTGTTTAGGGCCACCTTCTTTCCTTAGCTCACTCATGGCCCCCTTCCTCCATCTTCAAAGTCAGTAACATCAGACCAAGAAGTTTTAATGATACTGCATAGTTCTCTCTTTCAATTCTGTCTTCCACTTTTAAGGATCCTAGTAATTACATTGGGTCCACTGAGATAATCTGGGATTACTTTGCTATGTTAAGGTAAAATGACTAGCAACTTTCATTTCCACTGCAATCTTAATACCATTTTACCCTGTAATTAATGTATTACCAGGTTCCGTAGGTTAGAAGGTAGACATCTATGGGTTTTTGTTGCTGTTGTTGTTGTTGTTTTTGGTAGGAGGGAGTGTTATTCTACCTACCACATCTGTTGTCATTAGGTGAAGAATATTCAGACCACAAAGTATACAGAATCCACCTGTGCTTTTCCAGGGACACTACAGATTGTATCCAGCCTAGGGCTCTATGGGAAACCAGTGGCAGCTAGAACCATGGGGACCATGGCCAGATCCTTTGTAATCCCTAATAGCATCTTTATGAGCCTTTAATGAGCATGAGCTTGTGCAGCTTGCTTGGAGGTCAGCCAAACTTTTCTCTGGCTTCTTGGTAAGTAGAGACTGTTCAACAAATTCCAGACAAGTTCTCACCACTGTAAAATACACCAAAGTAAGATGTCAAGCAGATAATTAAGTCATGGTTTATGATTTTATTTTATATACATGGTTTTTAGAATATAAATATATTCTATAAAACATATAATTCTATAAAATAATTACTGATGGCCTAATTGCTTGGTATTTGTTCCTGTAAGTAATATAGGCCCAACTTGAGAGTCCAATTTGCTTTATCCACCATAGGACCAATCATGTAGACATTAATGACCTGCATACTTGACAAAGCCCTATAGGGTAATATAATAAGGTACTGTGAAAGTAACATTATAATCCATAATATCACTTATGAATTAATTCATTGTATTTAAATGTTCCCACTCACACATTTTCCCCTTCCCTGTTCTTCTGGGAATATCTGAAAAATAAGACAAATACACTTACTACCTAGTTATGCTAGGAAGTTTAATACCCAAGAAACACATTTCCTTCATATTCAGAGACAGAGCTCTAAGAATCTCTGAATGATTTTAGAATACAAAACCTCTCCATTCACATTATGGAAAATATGCAGGAATATTATACTTGTGATTTATGTTTTAGTTTCTACCACTCACCTGCAGCTCTACTGAACTAATTTATTTCCTCTTTAAAACCTACACGAAAGCATCTTCTGTGCTACATGTTTCTCTCACCATTCTCCAATATGCATTGCGAATCAAGTCATGGTGCTGAGCAGAATCCTTTCCCTGAGAACTGTTGATAATGCTGACCAGCACTCACAAGTGCGTCCCTTGAAACATTTTCAGTCATCACAATCCCAGATGCCATGAGTCATTGAATGTGTTTTTTTGTTTTTTGCTTTACATATATAGCACTTGGCCCTTATTTCAGCTGATGGAGTAGGTAAGAAAACGGATTCTGCTGGTTGTTTCATTTTTCTTTTTCTTTTTTTAAAATAAAATAAAAAAATTTATTTAGAGTTTTTTACTCTCCGAAGTCTCTCCCACAGAATCCCTCAATCTCAATGGAAGTAATATGCTTAAATCATATAAACAAGGACAGTGCATGACAGAAATCAAAATGCTATTTTTATTTATTTAATGCCATTTACAACTGTTCATTATGACACAACTAAATAACTTAAGCATATTTATTTTATTAATAATGACAATTTTAGTTTTTTTGACAGCTGAATCCCTCGACATAAAGATAATTAATTTAGCCCTCTTTTACCAGCAGACACCATTCTGCTGAATAATCAGTCAATGAAGGAAAAGTAAACAAATGAAAAAAAACCAGCAAAAAAATGTGTGTACATAAATAGTTGATTTTATGATTGGGATAGATGGAATCTATTTATAGAAGATAGTAATGTTTATTTGAAGATAAAATTAGGTTCACATCATTAAGAAATCTATGTGGATAGATACTATTAATGTGATATATATTAATAGTATATTGATACATTAATCAGAATATATTAATTTTTCCTTATCTGTTAATTTTTACTCTATTTACAACAGTGGAAATCTATAAAGCCAATATTAACTTTCTCTGGAAGAGAAATAAATTGATGATGAAATATCAGATACTTTCACAAAAATATGTAAGTTGAGATGAGAATTTTTAGCTGTCTTTTTCAGCACCAACTTTAAAAATTATTTTAGATCAGCTTTATGATTAGTCTAAAAATTAGTTTAAAACTTTAAAAAACAAAGAAAGTCAAAATGAGAAGCAGATGGGCCTATACTTCTTTAGACATGAACTGTCTGTTTCTCCTTATGATCAAAAGAAAGGCAAGAAAGGAAAATGGAATAAAACACCCGAGATTTCACAGACATTGCTACACATTGCCATGTATTCATTAGATAGCCAAATATATTCATATTGAAACACTCATTCTTACTCAATATGTTCATACTATCATGTTTGAGTGCTTGGTTTTAAAAATATTTGATTGAAATTAGGTATTTTGCACTCAAATTATTAAGGGTAGATATTAATATAAATTTTGTTTATAGTCTAAGGTTTATATTTTTATAATATTTGAAGACAGTGAAAATGTTTACTTAACCTGACATTATTTCAATTGTGACACACAAATATTCCTATAGTCTATATTGTAGTAGATGTAAGACCCACTCAAAGGCATACTAGACACATATTAAATTGTTAGTTTTACCTTATTATGTCTGTTACAAAAATTATGAAAAACTATTTTTATCAGCAATCACTAATCTCCAAAATTCTAAGCTCATTAGTGTGGTAGAAACACCTAATTGTCATTGAGACTGATGAACAACTTATGGTAATGGCACACAGACTGAGAGAATTTTATGCTAAAAAAAATTAAAAATAAATAGGAGGGTATCCAATAACAAAATTTTAGGATTTATGGATCCTCTGTCCTTCAAATACTGCAATATTGGACCAAATATATAATTTAGCACTAAGGTGCTAAAAATAGAACTTACTAATAAAGACTTGCTTCTCTATTCTCTATTACGCTCACATGTGCTGCAGAAATATATCAAGCCATCATCTTCTGGTTTCTAGTCCATCACTGGCATATTATTTCTCAGATCACATTTTTGCCGTGTATTCTTTGTTCAAACTGAGAGTTCATGCAATTTTCTCAGTCTCATCCTGGTACTACCAGTACTACCTCACTGACAAAATACATATGTTCCAAAAACATTTGTAAATGCACATTTATGTCAAAAAATCGTACTTCTTTTTGCTGAATTACATTACAGTCAAATGTTCTTATGAGGGAAATAACATCATTTTGAGCTAAAACATTTGCTTTGCATTTTTCACTATTTTATAACAGGAAACTTTGATCACTACTAATAGCCATCTGTCTCTTTCCACTTCAAACTAAAGCATCTTTTGCAGGACTATGATTGTCGCATATGGATATGTAAGTATTCCCATTTAAATATCCTCTATTCTCTTCGGCAGGAATCTGGACTTTATTACCTGTTCCTGAATGACTCTTTCTTATTTCATTATCCATAAATCCTCTCATACTCTCTTTTAAAAATCTCTCAAATCCTTTCTCTATTTTTCCCTCCACTTATATTTCGTCGCTTAAGAACTTTCAATCCTCTTTTTAGAATGGCACAATAGCCTGTTAACTGGTTTCAAGTCTCCAGTATTACCAAGCTCCCAATTTAATATGACAACTAAAATGGATTGCTGAGACACACTAAGTACATTGATTTGATGCCCTGTTCAAAGCTTTCTGTCTTGCTCATAACATTATATTTTATATTGTGTCCCAAAGAAGATCAATTGGAAACTCAAAATGGGATTAGGGGAAGAGAAACAAAGTTCCATAGATAAATGAGCTTAGGAAATTGCAGACATAATTCTTTTCATTGCTGTAGGCCTCTCAGGGTATTTTGAAGTTGTAGGCCTGTTGAATATCCAGGAAGAGAGAATAGTATGCAGCATTTCCCAAACCTATATGTTCATAAATTCTGTGGCATAGACAAGGAGGCTGCACATACTTAATGAACACAATTTGAAAAATGTTGGGCTTAGGGACAGTTTCAAACTTCCAGGTGTGGCAATAGGAGTGCCTCTAATTCTGTCCACATCTAAAACCGGGCTCAAATCAACTCTGCTCTTCCCTGTTATTCTTGCTACACTAGAACAGTCACAGTGCCTCCATTGGTGATCATACTTGCTTTTTTTTTTTTTTTCCCCTGGGACAGGCTCTTGCTCTGTCACCTACCCATGCTGAAATGCGATAGCAGGATCACAGCTCACTGCAGTCTCAACCTCCTGAACTCAAGCAATCTTCCCACCTCAGCCTCCTGAGTAGCTGGGACTTCAGGTGAAACCACCATGCCCACCTATTTTTTGTGTGTGTGTATGTGTGTTTGTGTGTAGAGACGAGGTTTCCCTATGTTGACCAGGCTGGTATTGAACTCCTGGGCTCATGTGATTCTTCTGCCTCAGTTTCCCACAGTGCTGAAATTACAGGTGTGAGCCACCATGCCCGGCCTAAATTTGCTTTTATATTTGCCTAATATGTCCTTTCCTGGGAAAACTCTTGCCCCACTCTCAAGAATCAGCACAAGTATTGCTTTCTTTAATCCAATATCTACCCTCCCCAACCTGTTACTTAAAATCATTTGAGAAATCTCTAGATCTTTACAAGTGAGGCCCCAGTATTGGTTTTAATTCCTAACGTTGGTTCTGAGAAAGTGTAAGTGCTGAGAGCCATTGCTCTGATTCTCATAAAAAGAAATCATGCCAACATTGGGCCACTATTCTAGCTGATGCTCCTATTGCAGCACTCGTCATGCTGCATTGTGTTAGTTTACATGTTTTGTCATTAAATCAGGACTATTACTGATGTTTGTATTTCTGAAAAGTATTACTATTCTGATACAGGATAGGTATTCAGTAAGTATATATTATTAATTAGCAAAAAAGTTTAGTCTAAAATTGGATCTTAACTTCCTAGTAGATATGGACATTTTACAAATATTTATTATTTTGTATTATAACAGAAAGGCAAAAAACTCGCATCCACATATAAGTGCCATCATCATGAACCAACAACTATTGTAAACGGGTACATTAAAAAGATAACATTATTAAAATTTTGAGAATTGTATGAGTAAAAATTTTATGTCCTTGTATTTGGAAAAAGACTGCATCGTAAACAAACCTGGACGGCCAAGTTAATAATCATAGTTGTTGAAGTACTATAAATCATTTAAGCTTTGGAAAGATAAATTACACAAAAATTCAGCAAACTTGTTGTGGCAATAGTATTTAACATAATGAGATAAAAATTACTGTATGGAAGACTATGTATGAAATAAATGATTTATTTTGCCAAAAGCACTATATAAGTTTAGGGGGTAGCTATTAACAAAATAGGTCTGAAAAATATTTTTCAAAACAATAAAGAGAAAATCGACTGTAAATGTAAACAGTGAGTTTGCAAATCACCTATCCTTGGAGCACCACTCTTAAAAATCTGGTGGAATATAGCAATATCAGAAATCAATCAGAAACATTTAAATAAAATTAAAACCTTAGATGTAACAAACTGAAATGAAATTAAGGCCTCAGTAAAGAGTTAGATCATCAGATATCTAAAAAAATAATCCCCAAGAGAGCCCATAACCCAGTTTAACCTTGGTGAAAGTTTATTGCCCACCCCAAATCCATTCTTTTCTTTTTCAATTGTAGCAAAACCCTGATTTTTGGGGAGTGGCATTGTGTCCAGCTACAAAACTTTATATTACCAATGATTTTAGCAAACCAAGTCATGACCAATAAGATGTAGGTGGAAGTTTTAGAGAATGCTTTTGGAAAACTTTTTATTATGGGCTGAAGTTACCTGACAGTATTTTATAGTCCTTCTGCCTCTCATGAAGACATGACAGCTGGAGCTACAGTGATTACCAATGGCAATGAGATGGTCTTGAGGATGAAAGTCACTTGCAAAGTATGTTGAGCAGAGAAGAGATAGCCTGAGTGTTGTGGCATTATGGAGTCATCACACCTACCCTACATTATTTACTTTTTCACATTTTAGTTTATTTCACTGAGTTTTTTTTTTTTCATGTCTGTTGCTAGTAACAAAATGCAATACCAAATTGATAGACAATGCTCTTTCTCAGAAGACTGTCATCTAACTGGTGTTATTTAGTACTTTTTTCCCATGAATACATGCCTAAATATCTTTCCTTGACATGTAAAAAGGGAACCTAGAGAAATATTGTTATTTTCTGGCTTTTCTGAAGGTCCTGTCTATCCTCTGGATGACTGACATCCAACATGACCATAAAGGAGAACCTAATCACTATTCATAAGCATTACAGAAGCATGTACAACATTCTTCCTGTACTGAGTAAAAGATACCCTGTGATCAATTAATTAGGGAGCTTCAACATTTAGAATAAGTGTAATCATTGGCACATTTACTTAAATCATTTGATTTAAGAGACATTCTTCATGCACCTGTAATTTGATCAAGGTGACTTAAGAATGCTTTTAGGGAGGCATGACTGGACTTGACTGTAACTAAGGAAACACATATTAAAATAATTACATTTAACTGTGTTCATAGAGCTTGAAGAATATATGAAGAGAAGGGAGATAGACTAAAAATAAATGAAAGAATGGGACTGAAAGTTAAAATATGATAATGTTCTGAGCATTAGTCACTGGAGAATGTGCCTAATTTAAATAATTAAATTTGTGTTCTCTGTGAGCTTCATTAGCACAAGTCCAATTCTGACTGTTAGGCTGTAATGAAATCACCAAAATAGTGCCACCCTGTTGGGATATCTTTGACTGGACAGCTGGCAATTCTCAAGTGATTTCTCTCAGTCCCTGGCATTCAGTATCCTCAAACAGACCACCCCTACAGAAACATGACTTTGCTCAACAGTCTTCATAAATCAGTTTTATTCAAATTGTAACCTATTTATTCCAAAACCCATATAAAAATATAATGTATGGAGAGAACAGGATTGTTTTGTCATTCTCATTCTTAACTTCTATAAATCTCTTCTAATTGTTCATTTTCTTATTATCTGGCTTTAGTTCTTCCATCACTTATAAAATGTAACCATTTATCCAAGGTTCAGTTCTTGGATGATGCCCTTCATCATAAAACATCCTCCAGTTATTAAAAACAAAACCCTAAGAACTACAACTTCATCTCCTTACTCTCCTTTTCAGTTAAATTCCTCTGGAGCTGCTATACTTGTTGTCTTCAATCATTTTTCCTTTCTCTACTTAATCCACCCTCATCCAACTTTAACCTCTCCATGAAACTGCTATGTAAACATCAGGAGTGCCCTTCATGTTGCTAAATGCAAAGGTCAGTGTTCTTTCTTCATCTTCCCTGATCTAACATCAGATTTCCAAACAGTTTATCACCCCCTCCTTATCAAAATACTCTCTAGCTCTTTATTTTCCAGGACCCTATATATATTTGAGGTCACTTATAACTCAACAATTCCTCCTTATTAGGTACTTCTGCTAATTTATTCTCTTCTCTCCAATCCTTCATACTGGTGTGTCTGGGGTTGAGTCTTGATCCTCTTTTGTTCGCTATCAATACTCATTCCCCTGGTATTCTGAGGACTTGAAATACCATGTCCATTATCATCTCATTTCTGCTGCTCAATAGCAGTGAAAACATGCATAAGTTGCTTATCCTTTCCATTAATCACTTTCCTTATTTGTAATATAGAAGCAAAATACAAATTTACCTCTTTTTTTTGTTCTTCAAGGCTGTTCTCCCACTGTCTCTACCTTGTAAAATGGTTGTGTAAATTAAATATTAATGTATTTAAATTTATCTTGGCACACGGTAGGAGTGTAAGCTAGAAAAAAGGGTGACAGACTAGGGAGAAAGGTTAGCAAGAGAATTTGCTCTTCAGATGTGACCCAAAGTGTTCACATCCATTGATCTGAGATTGCCATTCTTGCTTCTTCTCTGAAGAGCCTCTGTGACTTTGAATGACACATTTAATGCCCGGGCCTTGGTTTTCTTTCCAATAAAAGGAAGGGACTGATCTAGATGACTTCCCAGATCCCTAATATCACTAAAGATTCGTGCTTCTCTTGAGTCTTCAGGATCAGGGCAAAGTTTCACACCAAAACCAGTCCTTGGCCTTTGAACATGACTGTTCCAGGATGATATTTATTTTTCACATTGTTTCTAAAGGATATTCAGAGGGAGGGTGAGATTTGCAGTTCAGCATTGGTTAGGAAATGAGAAAGGAGCTGATGTTCATCCTCGTTACCTGGTATGACTTCTGGATGGTGAGAATCCTTGAAAAGAAATAAAAGGACAATAATGAGTAAGACAAGAATAATAATATTAATAAAAGCAGGAGTGATATTCAATATATCACAGTATTAGCACAATATTAACAGTAGGAATGGCATGGGCACTGACAATGAGAATATCTTTCAGGTACGTAGGTATATTCCTGCTAAATGCCACCTCTGAGTGTAGGGAATTTTTGCAGGATTAACAAAGGTCAATTAAGATAAACTAGATGAAGGAAAAAATAAGGAGAAATTGCTATTAGCTCACTCTGAGAATAGTTAGAAGTTTAAATTTTAATAAGATCTGGAAAGAAAATATATTAAATTCTCTAGCTTATTAGTCCTTTAAAAATATTTTGTGACTCACAAAATTGCACATTACATATTCTGCACTTGGAGCCACCAAGATGGTCATCTAACTTTTTAAAATATGACTGTGAATGTGCTATTGTTTCTACATTACAAACAAGGACAGTGATGCACTGAGAGGTTAGGCAACACATGCATGTTCTCAAAGGTAGTGAGCAGCAGAAATAGATGATACTTCAGGTATTCTAGTTTCTGGGTCCCTCTCTTAGATTTGTACCAGCCATTTCTTCTCACTGTACATTTCTGCTTACTACTCTTTTTGAAAAATGCTTTAGATAGAGGACTGAGAATGCCCTCTAACAGCAAACAGTATAGCTATTTCAGGGGAAAGGTTTGTTTTGATCACTCAGTATTAGAAAACCTATTTTGATCTCAGTAGAAATGAATTTATTTGGCAACTTCATTAAATTCTGCACATTTATTTTTCTGGCAGTGTAACTCTAGTGAGGTAGAGGCCTCTTAGATTGGCATTCAGCTTCCTGTCTCTCATTTCTACTCCCTTGTACTATAAGGTAGTAGCAGCTTGAATACTTCTGAGCCTCTCAACAGCTGATGCTCCTGTACACTCTCTGCCACTTGGCTACTGGCTTCTGGCAGCTTGCACTGGCAAATATGGTCCCCACTGTTTCTAGGCTCGGAGGAGCAAATGCATATAGCATGGTGGTTAAGAGCACAAATTCTATTGCCAGATTTCTGGGATTCAAATTCCTACTCTGACACTTACTATGTGGGTATGACTTTGGGTAAGATACATATTTTCATATCTCAGATTTTTTTAATCTGTAAAATTAGGATCATAATAGTCCATAGCTCATATAATTGTTGTAAAGATTAAATAAGTTCATCAGTCTATGGTGCTTAGCAAGTGCTCAGCAAGTCCACACAATGATTTATTATTAAGCTTCAGTTAATTTGCTAACGCTAACATTTTCATAGAAACTTCAGTTTGCTTTTGAATTTTTTTATTCTAGAAACAAAACCTTTTTAAAATTGCTAATATGCTATGAATAAAGATAACATACCAATATAGTATTAAAAAATTGTACATTGTGTAAGTTCTTATTATTCAGTATGCCTCTCTTTTAAGTAGTAGCCCTTCCAACCCTGCATTTCAGTGATTATTACGATTTTGCGTTATTTTGATTGCAAACACACACAATTGAAACTTCATTCCCAATATTTCACTTTTACAATTAGAATATAATGATTCTGTGCTTTGTATTTTTCTATATATATTTAAAAATAAACCTGTTTCAATGACTGGCATTAATAATATTAAAATGCAACTGTCGTGCTAATGCTTAGGAAATTTTTTTAAATGGGTTTTAAGCATGCATCAGTTATCAAGGAGACATGCCAAGGTGGCTCAGTTGATTTTTGGTGATACTAAGGAAGTTCCTGACTCCTGGTCCTGCAACGGAATAAAAAAGAAGCCAGACTGCCTTTGACACTCACTGGGATATTCATCATCATTTCAATAAGGGAGGATGGAAAAGGTGATTACTTCAGAAGCTCATTATCTTTCTCCAGTCCTTATGCCTATAATTCCAGTACTTGCCAATCCCGAGCAAGATTTTCCAGTTTAAAAATATGGCCAATATTTTCATAAGTCCTGCGTTTTATAGGCTACTGTTAGGAGCTGAAATAAAGAAGGAAAGCACTGGGACGTTTTCATGGTCAGAATATTGGTATGATTTTCTTTCCTTGAAAATAGAAGTGAAGTTCAGGATTAGACTGTGAATATATTTAGCCCTAAATATATTATGAATCGAAGCTTTCTTTATACTGGTCAGCAAAACTAAGAAGCCAGAGAAATGTTCTAATCTAATCTATCAGGTACAATACTCTAAGTAAGTTAAGGTAGCTACAATTAAAATAATTCAATCAATATTAATTAACCCTCCCCCACTTTATGTACATTTCTTTGGCAGAGGCTTAAGAGGAAATAGACCAATGAGGTATAAGCTCTGCTTTTATGCCAATGTATTTAGGAAAAATAAATGGTGAAAATTGATCCTAATCTAATTAGTAGAATCTGGAGAGACTTTTTAAATGCCTGAGCCCTGTTCACAAATCAGGACTACTAGGATTAGACCATCCCTATCATAGGCTGAACTAAAATCCAAACCTAAGCCTCCAGCTCTCCCTGGCTTTAGAGATAGGGGCCTGCATAGGTAAAGCATCCTTCAAAAGGAGCCATTAACACCACTTCCACCAGAGGGTGCAGTCTTCCTGAGACAAAGGAAGCCAGAACAAACTCCTCCTCTAGAACCAGTGACGGAAGAATGAAATGGAAAGAGCTGTACATTTCATGACACATAAATTCTTTTCTTTTGGCTCATGAACCCAATAAACTCAAATTTCTTTGAGTTTTAAAACCCTTTGATTGTAAGTATTTTCAGCAGGTTTTCTTTCTTCATCATATAGTTATTGCAAAGTCTGATGTATGAGGCATTGGGCTAGGTGTGAAGATCCAAGAGTCAGTCAAGGAAACATGATTGGATACATAAGGTAGTAGAATTTTCAGACAAAAAACAGCTTCTACCGTTTAGGTACCTGTTGTTAAAATGTGCTTAATTTAGTTGACCATTGTTAGGTCAGGAAAAGTTGAAATTCACTATACAAAGTGAATTTCAAATCTTCCTAACCTATAAGAGTTTGTACTTGTAAACATAATATTAATATGTTCTATAATCTGGCCCCAAATTTTTACCCCAAAGGTATTTGGTATAATATCTGAAAAAGTGTTCATTCTAGTTAGACTAAATTCTCAATCCAATTAAAATGGACTGTCTCACCGCACACCTTACATTGGATGACTTTGCACAATGTGGTTACCTCAGCCTGGAATCCCTCTTCCTATTCCTCCAACCTTTCAAGTCCTAAAAACCAGCTCAAATTTTATGTAATCCATGAGTAATTCTCCAAGTGAAAGAAATTTATTTGAGTTTAAAAACCCTTTGGTTAAAGTATTTTTAGCAGGTTTTCATTCTTCATCAAATAGTTTTTGCAAACTCTAATGTATGAAGCATTGGGCTATGTGTGAAGATACAACAGTCAATGAAACATAATTAGACATAAAGCCTAGTGGAGTTTTCAGACAAGCAAGCAAATCACTATGATACATATGTATTTGTAGTTATAACATAGGGTTCTAGGCAACTAAAAGACAGTCATACATCCCAGGTTCAGGGTGTCAGGAAAGACTACCTTGAAGACATGAAGCCAAGGTGCCTAGGACTTAGCAAATCATTGGTTGAAATAATTAATGAGCTCCAAGTTAGAATTCTGATTATGCCAATTTGCTGCTCAAAAACTTGTAATGACTCCTTATATTATACAAAATAGAACCTATGCTGCTAAGCACTTATAGCTGCACAGGAGTTAGTCAAATGAATAGGGGCCCAGGAATGGGAAGGAAGAATATTTGTGGCATAAGAAAAGCCTGAAGGAGAAAGAGCATGGCACACAGGGTAGTGGGCATACTTTCTCACCCTCCTAACCCACCACATAATAAAACAGGCTTTTTTTGCCTTTGCGTAAAAATACTGTAGCATCTTTAAAAAAAAATCTTCACCACGAGATGGTAAGTTTTTTACTTGAAAGAAGTTGTTATATTCTTCAGAATGTCATATACAAACAGCCTAGGACACTGATCAATTAATTGCCTTGAATTTGATTAAATATTATACAATATCATTGTTGAAAGGAGAAAGGATCACTATATAGGAAAATTAGATATTTTCTCTTTATATACTTTATATGCTGTCAAATGCTATCAATTATTAATTAATATTGAATTTAGCTTCTGTGCTTTCCAGAAATTATTTTAACTTACTCTCCACTCTGATGAGTCCAGTTTTTGTACATAGCCAACTACAATGGTTTCTATCTGTCAGAGCTCTCCACTTACAATGTCAGAAGTTGATGTAATGTTTAATGCTTCAGGCGTCAAAAGTCTTTCATCTTTCCAGACTATACTGAGCTAGAACTTTATCCCTTCTTTCTGTAGGGTCAGTGAAAAATGTAATTCCATCTATATTCACTTTTACTGTGGTTTAAAACATGAGCTATAACCTAGGAAAACATGTGGTGGTCACTTAGCAAATATCACCGCTGTCACACTTCTTTTCCCTAGAGTGACATTAATGCCTCTTCGATAATGCCTCTCATAAGCTTCTGTTTCTTATTGGTCTTACCTTTCTTCTTTTACTTTTTTTGAATGAAGAATACAAATAAATTTTTGGGTTTTTTTTTCTGAACCAGTTGTGAGTAGTTTAAAAATTTGATATTCCATCAATCCCAAACTCTTGTGTGCAATTCCTGAAAACAAGGACATTTTCTAACATAACCACAATATGACCATCAAAATCAGGAAGTTAACACTGGAAAACAAATATCGTCTGTTATAAGATGAATTGTATTCCTCTCCTCAACATTCATACATTGAAGTACCAACCCTCAGTACCTCAGGATGTGATTCTATTTGGAGATAAGGCTTCTAAAGAGGAAATTAAGATGAGGCCTGTCTAATCCAATCTGATGAGTGTCCTTATGAGAAGAGAAAATTCAGACACGAAAAGAGACACTAGGGGTGCAGATGCACAGAGAAATGATTACGTAAACAAGCAACAAGAAGAAGAAATCTGCAAGCCAAAAAGAAAAGCCTCAGAAGATACCAACATTGCTAGCACCTTGATCTTGGAAATCCAGCTTCTAGTGCTATGAAAAAAAGTAGTTTTTTAATTGTTTAAGCTATCCAGTCTGTTATTTTGTTATGGAAGTCCTAGCAAGCTAATATACCAATGAATATACAAACCCCATTCAAGTATTTTAAGTTGTCCAATAATAAAATGTATAGTGAAATATCCAAACAATTGTCAACTGTATTTAGTCATGGTTCTTTATTCTCAATAAATCTGGAACAGTGGCTCGTTCTTCCATTGACTTTCATGATTGTAACACTTGAAGAATAGACTTGCAGAGCTATTTTATAGAAATACATTTAATTTCTCTTATAATTTCTCATGATTAGATTCAGGCAATACATACTAATTTAGTCTCTGAATCCTGTGTTGTACTTTGACCCAGTGCTTGTGATATGAAGTTGATCATTTGATTAGGCTTTTGTTTGCTGTGATTATGTAATTTAAAGGTAGTCCTTTTCCTTTTATAATTATTTAAGTTTGTTGTTGGTGTGTTATTTTTCATGGGGAAATAGTTTGAGACTATGTATGTATCCTGGTTGCTATACTTTGGATGTTGTACCCTCCAATCTTTATGTTGAAATTTAATTCCCAGTGCAGAGGTGTTGAAAGATGAGGCTTAGTGGAAGGTGTTTGGGACATAGGAGTGGATTCCTTATGAATAGACTAATGTCCTCTCTCAGGGGTAAGAGAGTTCTTGCAAGAGGCCTGGTTGTTTAAAAGTGCCTAGCATCTCGCTCCTCTCTTGCTTGATTACTCTCTTGCTGTGTGGTATTTGCACATGTCAGGTCTCATTTACCTTCTGCCACAAATGGAAATGGCCTGAGGCCCTGATCAGGTGCCCAATCTTGAACTTTTCTAGCCATCAGAATTGTGGGCCAAATAAACCTTTTTTCTTTATAAATTACGCAGGCTTAGGTATCCTTTATAGCAACACAAAACAGACTAATACGCTGATTCTTGTCAAAATTTTAAGCACCATTTTTAGCATCCATAGATGATTCTTGCCTGAATCAAGTTCTATGATGTTTACCAGATGGTGCATTTTTAATTCCTTCATTCCTTCTACATACATAATTTTCTTCCATAAGGGAAGATTTATCTTATCTCCATTTACTTATTCATTCATTTATATAATTTATATATTTATTTATGTTAACGTTTAAATCATACCAGATTTTAAAAATTGGAGTCTCTTCAAGCTGGCATCCATGTTCTTTTGTCATGTCTTCAACATTCTTTGATGTTTTCCTTTACATCATGATGTTCGAGGCTCATCTTTTACTGTCCTACTCCTAAAGTTAGTGATTTCCTCAAGAAAACTTGCTTCTTGTTAATGACAATTATATTAATATTTAGAAGCCAAGATCCAGGTACTAAATGAGCTCATTGCTATTGGGGTGTCACTTCTCCCAGACCCTTCCAGTTTAGGGGACAGAAAATATGTGTGTGTTTGTGTGTGCATGTGTACGTGCGTGTATGTAAAACCATGAGTTCACACTGATAACTCTAATTCCAATCAATATCATAGGTTTTTTCTTTTTATATTTATAGCTTTCCTTTCTAACAGTGAGAAATATGTCTGCTCAATATTTGTCAATGTAAATAGACTCAGCTCTTATGTATGTAAAAATCTGTTGCTGAAAATATCTAGTGTGAACACCCTCTGCCCCTTTCTTAGACTCTACCACTCCATGCTTGGCCACTACCACAACCCCCTGTTTGAACATCCTCTTCCTCTAGTCAGGGTAGCAACTCTATTTCACCAACACAAGACTAACTTGCTCTTACCCCCAGGTGAATTATTCAGAAAAGAAGAAAGCAAAGAAACATACAAACTATTTTTTAAATTAAACATTTTTTCTAACTGTGGAATTAAAGATGTTCCAGGTATCTACCAAAATATGAGTTAAAGTGATTCCAAAATTGCAATAATCTTTCTTCCATAACTGCTTAATTAGGCAATCTTATTAAATTCGTCTAATGAGATTACAAACAGGTGCTCATTTGGACAAGCTCTTCCCCTCTTTAGCTTTTTCATTCTGTTTTCTGAGTATTGAAAGCAGTTGTGTTCACCTGATTTAACAAAGACCACCTGGGAGCATACACCTTAAATCTATAAAATTTTTATGTCACATGTATCTTAACAAAAGAGAAAAAAATACTGGTGCATTAGTCCTACTCCACAACAATAAAATCATAATCTCTGGTGTAAGGCCCAATCACGGGCATTTTCTAAAACAGTCTCTTTGCTTTTTGTTTGTTTGTTTGTTTTTTGAGACGGGGTCTTACTCTGTTGCCCAGGCTGGAGAGCAGTGACACGATCTCCATTTGTTTCTATCTTTAGTTAACAATCACTGTAAAATATTCTCCCACTCTTTAAAACTTACTTACATAAAAATAACATATGGCCTAAACTTACTGTAATAGGCAAATACTAAACTTGCCCTTATACTCTCTACCCTGTGGGGTTCTGCCCTTATATAATCTAATTTCCTGTAATGTGGGTAGGATTTGCTTCTAGCCAATAAAAAGTGTCAAATGTGAAGTAATTTCACAGATGTAATACAGGTTCCAAATCAGTTAATTTTGATTCAATCAAAATAAGATTATCTTGGGTGAGCATGTGTCTTAGTCTATTTTCTGATGCTATAACAGTGCTACCCACTAGGTAATTTACATAAAATAAAAGTTTATTTCTTACAGTTCTGGAGGCTAAGAAGTCCAAGAACATGGTACTGGCATCTGTTGAGGTTCTTCTTACTGCATCACCACATAAGAGAAGGTTGACGAGCAAGACAGACCAAGGCACCAGAGGCCAGACTTTCTTTGTAACAACCTACTGTCAAGATAACCTCTCGCTGGAGAACAATGTTCATTCATTCATTCATGAGGGTTCTGCCTCCATGACACAATTACCTCTTGTTAGGCCCCACCTCCAAAAACTGCTGCATTTGGGATTAGTTTCCAACACATAAACTTTTGGGGGGGGGTACATTCAAACCATAGAAACATGACTTAATTAGTTAAAATCCCTTAAAAGTGGGACTGAGCACTCCCTAATGAGAAAGACTCTCTCTTCATCACTGGCTTAAAAAAAGTAAGCGCCTCTGTTGTGAGAAGCCCTATGGAGAGGGGAATGTGGCAAGGAGCTGCAAAGAGTGCAAGCAGCTACTAGAAGCTAAGGGTGTCCTCTTATTGACAACCAACAAGAAATCTGTACCTCAGTCCTACAACTACAGAGAAATGAATTCTGCCAACAACCGGAGATCTTAGAAGATGATCTTTCTCTAGCAAATCTTTCAGATGAAGATGCAGCCTGACCAATACCTAAACTGAAGCCTCTTACACCCTAAGCAGAGGACCCCATTAGGTTGCATTCAGACTCCTGACCCACAAAAACTGTGAAGTAGTAAATGTGTGTTGTTTAAAGTTGCTAAATAAATGAGATGATGTATTATGCAGCAATAGAAAACTAATACAATTGCCAACATCATTTTGGTTGCTGGGCAATATTCCCATTCTTTAAAGGGGATTTATCTTATTTGGTTATACACATGAAAAAGTAGAGAATTGGACATAGGGTAGATGATCAGGAAATATTTTTTATTGACTGGAAATATCCGATAAAAATAATCTATGGTATAATGAATATGTCTTGTCTGTTACATTTCAGCTTTCCAAAGAATATTTACACTTCCAAGGAGCACATTTGATGTCACTGCCTTCTTCCTTTGTGCTGAAAGTCAGTAGTTTGACGTATTTTTTCTAATGGGTCTCTTATAAAATGCATATTTCAGTCCCCCCTCCACAGAAATAATATGTTAAAACCTTACCCTAATAAAAGGGTATTAGAAAGTAGGGACTTTAGGAGGTAATGAGGCCATGAGGGTGAAGGCTTCATTATGGGATTAGTGTTTTTATATGAAGAGAGAACAGAGGAGAGATTCTCTCAATTAGATAGATTACTAGATAGATAGATAGACAGACAGATAGATAGTTATAGATGTAGACATACATATAGATATCTGTCACCCGCCCTTCCCTCCCTCTGTCTGCCATGTGAGGATACAGCACAAAGTTGTCCATCTGTAAACTAGGAAGAGGACTCTCGTGAGAAATCAGGCAGGCCAGCCTCTTGATCTTGTACCTTACAACGTCCAGAATTGCTAGCAATAAATTTCTATTGTTTAAGCAAGACAGTCTATGGTATCTTGTTATAACATCCCAAGCTGACTAAAATAGGGTCAAGTTCTGCCTTGGGACATTGGCGAATAGCTTTTATAAAAATAAATCAGTGAGTGTAAAATATACGCACTGAGAGCATTTTAAATTTTATAGTATTGTTATCTTCTTTAATGAAAACAATATCAATTGAATTAAGCCCAACTTCATCACACTCATTCATACTTACTCAAGCCATCAATATATACATATTCTTCAATCAGAAAAACTATGAAAGTTCTTTTTTTTCTTTCCTCTAGTGTAATATGGCTCTTACAATGTTTATAAAAATGCTTTTATACAAATATTCCTAGGATGAAAAAAAAGACTTTCTCGTAAGTAAAATTTGGCCTGGAGGGAAAAATAAAACATGGTAGGTTAGAGCTGGAGATAATAAAACTTCTGAGCAAACTTTGAAGCTCTCTGAAAGTACTAGAGCAGCTTTTGATAAGTGCTATCACTGTGTGCAAGTGTCTGATTTGGTCTTAAATTTTGTCACTCTGTTTATTCCGCATAACTTCACACTTCAGCCAAATTTGTTTCCATGTGTTTTATGTCCTCTGAGCCTAGTTTTCTAGTTCAAACTGGGCTACATGACTTCACTGTAATTTCTAACTACTATCCTATTTAAAAAAAAGTTCATGTTCTACCTTCTCTATAAGAAAGGCTAATACTCCTTTGAATTTTCAATATATAATATAGCAAACTATCTTTCTGGTAAAGGGAAGGACGAAAGGAGGAAACTGTGGGCAATGAGTTACTCAAGGCAGCTTGCTATAAGATTTTTGTTTATTTTTTAATATTTTCTTTTCTAAAATAATTTCAACTTTTGTATTAGATTCAGGCAGTACCTGTGGAGCTTTGTTACATGAGTATATTGTGTGAAGGGTGAGAATGTAAATTAGTTCAGATACTGTAAATTATTTTTCATTATTGAATACTTTATCTTTTTACAGCAGTTTTGGGTTCATGGCAAAATTAAGAGGAAGTTAAAGAGATTTCACATATGCACCTTACCCCTATACATGTGAATCCTCCTCCATCATCAACATTCTCCACCATAGTAGTACATTCATTATAATTGATGATCTTACATTGACACATCATAATCACCCAAAGTGTAATTTACATTAGGGTTTGCTCTTGGTGTTGTACATTCTATATGTCTAGAAACATGTGTAATGACATGTATTTATATAGTACCATACAGAGAATTTTCATTCCCTAAAAATCTTCTGTGCTTCACCTATTCATCCCCTCTCTCTCTTAATGCTTGGAAACCACTAATCTTTTGCAGTATGCTATAAGTGATATTTGTGACTATAAGGCTAATGATGGCCATAAGGCCCACTCAAACATCTCGCAGAACCTATGCTATGTGACACTTAGCAATATGATATAACATGGGCTGGAGACTTTTAATCCTGGCCGAGGGATTACTAAGTATTTATAATGACAGCACTTAAAAACACTGGTTGTCCTAGAGACAAGGACACCTCAGCACAGATGCAACTTTCGTAAACCTTAAAACAAATCTTACTCTTATAAGAATAGCTTAAACTCCCTTTATGAAGCAAACACCTGTTAACAGACCTGGAGTGTATGTAAGTATAAGAAAGGGGGAACAATTCCCTAACCTCTGAGAATCGTCTCCAGATGGAGACCCTCCCAGTCAGGCACTCTTCTAACACCTGAGTGGATATGGCCCAGCCTATGATCCAGCTCTCACTGTCCATCTTGTAAGAGTACTCCCAGAATAAACATCAGATTCATCTTTAGTGTGAATTGGACCAAAGGGAACATATCATCCCTGGGAGAGTTGGTTAACAGGGGCCACCCAAGACCCCTAAACATGACATCTTTTTGCTGTCACCATAGTTTTGCCTCTTTAAGAATGTAATGTTGTTGAAGTCATACAGCATGTAGCTTTTTTCAGTTTATCTTCTTTCACTTGGTAATACTTATTTAATGTTTCTCCATGTTTCATGGCTTAAAAGCTCATTTCCTTTTAGAACTGAATAACATTCCCTTGTCTAGCTATGCTACAGTTTATTAACCCAATCACCTATTGAAGGACATCTTGGTTGCTTTCAAGTTTGAGAAAATATAAATAAAGTTGCTACAAATATCCATGTACAGGATTTTCTGTGGACATAATTTGTATTGCTAGGTTTTATGGTACGGTATGTTTAGTATTATAATAAACCATGAAATTGTCTTCAAAATCCACTCTACAATTTTGCATTCCTACCGGCAATTAATGAGAGTTCTTGCTATTCCATATTCTTGTCAGTACTTGGTGTTGTCAGTGTTTTAGATTTTGGCCATTCTAGTAGGTGTGTAGTGGTATCTCATGGTTGTTTCGATCTGCATTTCCCTGACGACATATGTACTAGTCAGGGTTCTCTAGAGAGATAGAACTAATGGAATAGGTATATATATATAAAGGGGAGTTTATTAAGTATTAACTCACATGATCACAAGATCCCAAAATAGTCCATCTGCAGGCTGAGGAGCAAGGAGAGCCAGTCTGAGTTCCAAAACTGAAGAACCTGGAGTCTGATATTTGAGGGCAGGAAGATCCGGCACAGGAGAAAGATGTAGGCTGGGTAGCTAGGCCAGTCTCTCTTTTCACATTTTTCTGCCTGCTTATATTCTAGCCATGCTGGCAGCTGATTAGATTGTGTCCACCCAGGTTAAGGGTGGGTCTGTCTTTCCCCACTACTGACTCAAATGTTAATCTCCTTTGGCAACACCTTCACAGACACACCTAGGGTCAAATCCTTCAATCCAATCAAGTTGACACTCAGTATTAACTATCACAAGTCCACCCCTTGTCAACTTGAACCCACACATATCTCCTGAGATCATACATAATCTTCAAATAAAGACAATAATGAGGTCATAATTACACCTAACATAATACAACTATGCTTCGTACAACCAGAAATGCACCAATCCCCAACCCAAATACTATTACATAAAGTTAACAATACTTAAATGCTGATGTGAAATCAATAAATCTTATGTAACGTGATAAAGGAGAAAGGAAATAAAATGAAGATATTTCTTTAGTACAAGCATATACATGCACAAACATGTTTTTAACAAAAGAAGGAAGAAATACTCATGACAATTATAGTCCTTGTTTCTGCAGCTGGTCACGTGGCTGTAGCTGGTATAGATGACTACCTTCTTCTACTACACATTCTGTATTCCCTTTGCCTTCAGCAAGCATCTCAGCAGGTCATGGTTCTTTTCCTTGTTGAGTGACACAAACCTTCATTCCTGAAGGGTCTGGGTTATTTGTGGTCCTGCCTGAATTAGGCTGTTGTAGTTTTGCATTGACCTTAATCACAGGCCATGGTAATACTAAAAGACACCCTAATGGATCTCCTGTATTCTATGCATACTCTTTCTTACCACCATTTTGGAGTAGTAGACTGATTTCATCTTGATAGTCTGTGTCAATCATCCCAGCCAACACTGTAACACCATTCTTGGCCTGTTGACTTAAAGGCAGGAGGATGCCAAAGTGTCCAGATGACAATCTTAACTTCCAGTTTAATGGAGTCATTGTTGTGTGTGCTTAGTTCCTCCCTCTGGAACTAGGACCTCTAGGCCAGCAGAATGTAATGTCATGAGAACAGGATGTAAAAATTTTGCTAGTGATGGTAATGGTGGCACCATTCACCATCACTACGGGAGATGCAATACTGTTTTTAATTTACAATTTTTCTAGGTAGAGGCAGCTCTAATGGCTTCCATTTGGCCTTACCCACCATAATAGCCCTCACTGTACCAGTCAGGGAGCAAATGTTGGGGTTCTGCCAGCTGCTAAGTATGTCTATGCCAAGTATGCATTCTGGCACTGGGGAAATGACCACAGGATGAGTCCGGGGGCCCATTGTAAGTGAGACCTGAAGCAAAACTCCATTGAATACTTGACCTCCATAAGCCCTACTTTAACTGGAGGACCACAGTGACGTTTTGGGTCCCCTGGAATCAACATCAGGTCAGAGTTAGTGTCCAGTAGTCCCCAAAAGGTCTAATCATTTCCCTTTCCTCAATGCACAGTTACCTTGGTAAAAGGCCAGAAGTCTCCTTGGGGAAGGATGGCAGAAAGATTTACAGCATAACTTGTTGGTAATGTAGTGGGGTCCTTCCTCAAAAGGACCCAGTCTTCCCTTCATTCAAGGGGTTCTGGGTCTGTAAACGGTCTGGGAATTGATTGAGGGGTCATGATTCTTTGTTTCTGTGATTCAAATTATTATTTTGTTCATTCGAACTAGAAGATTTCTGCTTATATAAATCAAGTAGGAATGCAGTAGGCATCCTATCAATTTCACTTCTAGGAACACCGTGATTAATTAGCTAATGTCAGAGCTCTACACAAATCAGACTATTCTGATTGCCACTTTCTCTCTGCTGTCCATTACAGTAGCTACACCAGCCTTGCCTTTGACTGTTGAGTGCTGCCACTTGGCCCCTGCCACCTCAGGATCCGATTATTCTCACTGTACTTAAATTTAGTAGTTGAGTGACTGCAGTTCCCACTGTTAGCTTTGACACACAGAGAAGAGCAATTACAGGGCTCTTCAAAGATGCAGGCGCTGCCCTCACAAATCTATTTTGCAAGGCTTTGTTCAAGGGTATATCTTCTGGACCCTCCCAGCTTAGATGAATAGGTCTAAAGTGACTTATCAACTCCACCATCCAATCTCCCTAAGCCTTTGAATACCTTTCTCAAATTAAACCAAGGGAGATCAGGTGTTTCCAGCTTGCTCACAGTGGGCCATTTTTTATCCATATTTCAGCTAACCAAGCAAACCAGCCTTACATACCTGGGTTTGTTTTTGTTTTTCTAGTTCCTCCAGGTGTGATATTAGATTGTTAATTTGAGATCTATCTTTTTTTACTTAGAAATTTCATGCTATAAAGTTTCCTCTTTACTTTTGCTGAATTCCAGAGATTTAGAAATTTTTATCTGTTTTTATTTATTTCAAAGAAATTTTTTTATTTCAGCCTTATTTTCTCTTTTTACCTAAAAGTCATTTAGGAGAAAGTTGTTTAATTTCCATGTAAATGTAATTGTGTGGTTTTGAGAGATCTTCTGCTATCTATTTATATTTTTATTCCACTGTGATCCAATAGTATGGTTGGTATAATTTTGATTTTTTTGAATTTATTGAGATTTGCATTATGCCTGAGCATGTGATCAGTCTTGGAGTATGTCCCAGGTGCAGATGAGCATATATTCTGTGATTGACGAGTGGAGTATTCTGTAGATGTCTATTGGGTCCAATTGGTCACGTGTTTAACTTAAGTCCAAAATTTTTTTTTAGTTTTCTCTCTCAAAGATCTGTCTAAAGCTGTCAATGGATATTGAAGTCCCTTACTATGATTGTGTGGCTGCCTAAGTCTTTTTATAGGTCTAGAAGTACTTGTTTTGTGAATCTAGATGCTCCATTGCTTGGTGCATATATATTGAAGATAATTATGTCTTCTTCTTGAATTGAAATGTGTATTATTATTTAATGTCCTTCTATGTCCTTTTTTTACTTTTGTTTGTTTAAATTCTGTTTTATCTGATATAAGCATAGTGATCCCTGCTCCTTTTTTATTTCCCATTTACATGATAAATCTTTTTTCAACTCTTTACTTTGAGACTATGGCTGTTATTATGTGTGAGATTGGTCTCTTGAAGACAGCAGATGCAGATGAATGGATCTTTTTTTCAATCTATCTTGCCACCCTATGCCTTCTAAGTAGAGTGTGTTTTTGTGATAGTAGGTATCATTCTTTCATTTCCATGTTTAGAACTCCCTTAAGAATCTTTTGTAAGACTGGTTTAGTAGTAAGGAATTTCATTAGTGTCTGGAAAAGCTTTTATTTCTCTTTCACTTATAAAGCTTAGTTTGGCAGGATATAAAATTCTTGGTTGGAATCTCATTTTTTGTTTAAGAATGCTGAAAATAGTCCCCAAATCTCTCCTGGCTTCTAAGGTCTCTGCTCAGAAATCTGCTGTTAGCCTGATGAAGTTCCCTTTGTATATGATCTTATATTTTTCTCTAGCTGCTTTTAAGATTTTTGCTTTAGCATTGACCTTGTGTGGTCTGGTGACTGTATGCCTTAGTGATGTGCATTTTGTATAGTATCTCACAGGTGTTCTCTGGATTACTTGTATCTTGATGTCTACCTCTTTAGCAAAATTAAGAACATTTTCTTGAATTATTCCCTCAGTTTTTTTTCCAGGTCATTTCTTTTTCTCTGTCTCTCTCAGGAATGGCAATAATTTATAATTCCATATTTCTTGAAGACTTTGTTCATTTTATATACTCTTTTTTTTTTCCTGAGACAGAGTCTCGCTTTGTCACCCAGGCTGGAGTGCAGTGGCACAATCTCGGCTCACTGCAAGCTCCGCCTCCAGGGTTCACGCCATTCTCCTGCCTCAGTCTCCAGAGTAGCTGGGACTACAGGCACCCGCCACCACGCCTGGATAATTTTTCGTATTTTTAGTAGAGACGAGGTTTTACCATGTTAGCCAGGATGGTCTTGATCTCCTGACCTTGTGATCCACTGGCCTCAGCCTCCCAAAGTGCTGGGATTACAGGCATGACCCACCGCGCCCAGCCCTATATTCTCTTTTCTTAATTTTGTCTGTCTCGGTTAGTTTGAAAACTGATGTTCAAGCTTGAGATTCTTTCTTCTGCTTGGTCCAATCTATTGATAAAACTTTCAATCATATTTTGAAATTCCTTAAGTGAGTTTGTTATTTTAAATTCCAGAAGCTGTGCTCTAACATCCTTTTAAGATATTTATCTTTCTTTATTTCCTGGATTGCTTTAGATGTCTCTTTTTTTTATTTTCAACCTTGTCTTGGATCTCATCGAGCTTCTCTGCAATTCATGCTTTGAACTGTTTATCTGTCATGTCTCAGTCCATTTTGGATAGGGATCACTGCTGTAGAAATAATGGGATCCTTTGTGGTGTCATGACATTCATATTATTTTCATGGTGCCTGAATACTTATGTTGGTTCCTTCTCATCCAGAAATGTTGGCATTTCTCATTTTGTAAAATTATTTTTGGGCAGGTGGGATTTTTTCTTTTTCTTTCTTATCTTTATTTTTTTTTCTTCTTTCCCTTTTCCTTCTCCCCTCTAAGGGGTCTGACTGTAGAGAATGCTCAGTAAGGTCTTTTGGTTTTGCTTCTATATCCTTATTCACCTTTGTCACCAGGTTTTATACTGGGCTGTGCAATTCAACCTACAAGCCAGTAGATGTGACTTATGGTTAAGAGGCAGTTGTGGCCAATGTGGCTGAATATATACTTAATTCTTATTTACTGGGATAACCTCTCTGTTTCCTCAGGCAATAGTCTGATTCATGGAGTGCACAGTAAGTAGTCTGAGCTGTGTTCTTAGTCCTGGGGGGTCAGGGGCAAGATGGGCAGGGCTGGACCAGGCAGGTTTAGCTACAAGGTCTCTAATGGCAGGCACAAGTACCAGCACAAAGAGAAAATCCAGAGGATGGCTTCCAAGTACCCAGAGGTTTGCCTAGGAATGGAGTGGGGAAAGCTCCTCACTGCCAAGTTCTCTGCGCAGGGATGGAGGGCAGCCTAAGCTCCTAATCCAGGAGAGTGGGTGCTCCAGATGCCTGGATATCTGCCTTGGCTTAGCATGGAGTTGAGGAGGGCTCCCCGTGCCAGGGTCTCTCCACAGCAATGGTGGGAAGGTTCAGGCTGCTGTTCCAAGCAAGTGGGTGCCCCTAATGCCTGGAGATATGCCTGGGCATGGACTCTGGCTGTTGATCTAGGCAAACAGGTGCTCTGAATGGCTGGACATCTGCCTGGGCATGAAGCAGGGAGGGCCCCCCTTCACCCATATCTATGCACAGGAATGGTAGCCAAGGTTACAAATCTGGGCTACTAGGTGCTTTGAGATCTGCCTAGGCATGAAGCAAAGGGCCCTCCTGCACCATGCTCAATGTCCAGCAAGGGTAGGGCAGCCCAGGCTGTTGGTCCAGGTAAGTGAGTACCCTAAATGCCTGGATCTATGCCTGTGGATGGAGTGGAGAGGGCCCCACTGCACCACAATCTCAGGGGAACAGGCTGGGGCATCCAGCAATGACACATACAGACCAGTTCCACATTGCCAAGTTTGTCCTGGGCTGCAAGTCTCATAATTCAGGAGAAACTGCAGCTGTAGCAGCTCTCCTCCTGCTCCAGGCCTGTGATGAGACAGAACACAATTCCACTTCCTACTGCTGGGGCACTTTCCAGAGTTCTGGCTGTGGGGGTCCATATCCAGCTCTAGAGCAGGCACTCCAATTTCTGGCCTGAAAACTAAAATGCCTGTGTAGGCACACTGCCAGCTCACCAAGGAATGGCTTACGTTATGTTCTTCCAGATTTAAAATCGTGTGCAACTCTCGGTTCTGGGTCTGGGAAAATGACTGCAGCTTTTTCCATTATCTTTCTTCACAGCATCTCTAAGTCTCTCCTCAAGTTAGCTCTAGGGCTTGAGAGAAACAAAGTGCTCTCCCTCAGCCTGGGTTGTTCAGATGCCCAATGAAAAGATGAGTCACAGAGGGAAGTTCTCTGCCTCTCTCACATACTGGGGTTTCACTCACTTTTATCAGCTGGACTACATCACGAGGGCTGTTTGCCCATGCTCTACTCCCTAAGATACTCCGAGATATCCTTCACGATTTCAGTGGATTCCCATTTTTCTTCTTCAAAAAAACTCAGAGTTTATGCACTATCTTGCCATTTCCAAGTAGCTGAGCTATGCTAAAAGTCTGTGCCATCTTGAAAAAAAAAAGTTGTTTTTATAGCTGGACAGAATATATCAGGTAAATAAAAGTGCTGTAAATAGACCTTTAGTAATGTGTGGAGTGAGGGTTTCTATAGTCCTATAAGTGTTCTATAGTCCTATGATTTGATCTCAGTCTTTTAGTAAGCCCATGTCCTGGACTGTGAATTTCACAAGTGTTTCTCAGTTTTTTCCTGCCTTAGGTGGAACGGGATAGCTATAATGAGCTGAAATTGGGTATTTCCCTTCTCTTACTTAGAAAGCTAGAGCTCACTAGAGTTGGAATTTTTTTTTTTTTTTTTTTTTTTTTGAGACGGAGTCTCACTCTGTCGCGCCCAGGCTGGAGTGCAGTGGCATGATTTCGACTCACTGCAAGCTCCGCCTCCCAGGTTCATGCCATTCTCCTGCCTCAGCCTTCTGAGCAGCTAGGACTACAGGCACCCGCCACCACGCCTGGCTAATTTTGTTTTTGTATTTTTAGTAGGGACAGGGTTTCACCGTGTTAGCCAGGATGGTCTCCATCTCCTGACCTCGTGATCCGCGCGCCTCTGCCTCTCAAAGTGATGGGATTATAGGCGTGAGCCACGGCGCCCAGCCGAGTTGGATATTTCTATCTCCCAGGTCAGTTGGGCTCTGATAAGAAACACCGCAGAAGGTTAGGATCTGGTTAACTCGTTTCTACTGGGGGCATACCTTGTTAAAAAGAACAGACTACTGTAGCATATTTCAAAATATTTTCTTTTCTTGGTCTCCTGCTAGAAGGATGAGGAGACTTTTCTCCAGTCTTTAGTGTGAGAATATAGTTGAGCTGTGGAGCTAAATCTCAAAATATTGGGGGCCACCTGCTATTCTTGGGACTCTTGAGTTTTTACTTCTCACAGTTGTCTACACTGAACCTTCAGGAATTTATCATTACAGTTCAAGTTTACCTATCTGTGGTAGTTTCAGGCCACGAGTCTTTGCTCTGGTAAACAATAACTCCCAGTATTTCCCGTCTGTCTTTCCAATTTTGGGTGTAGCAGTTTGTCCGTGTCCTCCATTCTCTTTCAGATCTAGGAAAAGTTGTTGATTTTTCAGTCTGTTTATCTTTTTACCTGTTGTTAGGACACAGTGGCAACTTCCAAGCTTCTTACATGTGGAACCAGAAACCAGCAGTCCCATGTTACAAGGTTTACATAAGAATCTTAAGAGAGAAATTTTCCTAACTCTGTTTCTACAAATGTCCAAGTATACGTTAATTAATTATTTATGATAAATAGGATTTTTGATCAAATGATTTGGAGAAATACTGAGTTAAAGAAAAATCAAACGATTTTTTTAACTTTAGTACTTCTTAGAACCTTTGTTGTAAATCTCCAAGATTACAATTTACTCTGCAGGATTTCCCCAAACTTTTTCAAATATTGAACACTTTTTAACCTAGAAAAACAATTGGGTGTGTTTACATACTCAATACCATTAATTCCTAAAGTTCAGCTCCCAGAGCAGCTACTTCAACATCAACATCTGGGGACTTGTCAGAAATGCAGATTCTTGGGCCTCACCCCACAGTACTGAATCAGAAACTCTGAGGGTGGGCCCAGAGTCTGTGTTTGAACCTGTCCATCAGGTGAATCTAATGCATGCTGAAATTTGAGAGGCATTGCTCTATTTCATGTGTGACTTGAGTAGTCCCTATTTAATATGGTTAGGCTTTCTGTCCCCACCTGAATCTCATCTTGAATTGTAATCCCCAGGCATTGAGGGAGGAACCTGGTGAGAGATTATTGGATCATGGGGGAGGTTTCCCCCATGCTGTTCTCGTGATAGTGAGTGAGTTCTCACGAGATCTGATGGTTTTATAAGTGTCTGGCAAGTTCCTCCTTTGTTTACGCTTCTCTTTCCTGCCACCATGCAAAGAAAAGGCCTTGCTTCGCCCTTCACCTTCTCTCGTGATTGTAAGTTCTGAGGCCTCCCAGCTATGTGGAACTGTGAGTCAATTAAACCTCTTTCTTTTATAAATTACCCAGTCTCAGGTAGTATCTTTATGGCAATGTGAGAACAGACTGATACACTACCTATGCTTTCTTTTAGAACAGATATTTACTGAAAGAAATATTTTTAAAGAGTTAGTGAATTAACATTGGGAACTGTGTAACCACTGACACTGGAAACATGATTTCTCCCTGTGGAGTTGTAAATGCTTAGTTTAGAGTAATTAAAGAGACATGAACAATGTTTAATGGCTCTCAAACATTTTACTAAAGACATTGACTCCAAAATCAAAGGTGTTTAATTGATAGGAAAAATATAGATATTTTTCCACTCTCCAGTCTGTCAGTCTTATAATTTACAGCATAAGATATTTCTTTTCAAATGAACATTAAGGAAGTAAATGTGCTAAACGTTAACATCTGTTCTGAAGTAATTCATCAGCGTTGCCATACGCAGATGAGGTGAAACTTTCTTAAATGCCCGTTTAAGTCACTTAAGTTTGCATGTGTTAGTAATGTATGTTAAGTACTTGACAACTTGTGTTGTTTGCAGGGAAATTCTAAAATCCCACTGAATATGGTAGTGTATCACAGCTTTGTAATTATAAATAAAAATATTTATGCAATACCAAAAGGTTTACTGCATAAGCATATGCATAAGTGTGCGTGTATGTGTGTCAGGGGATGGGGGCAGGTATTATTTCTTATCTGTATTGCACGGAAAGAGGCAATAACAAAGTTTGGGTTGACCGACTATAGCTTATCTAGATGGGCCAATGACCGGATAGGCTATTTGCTAGCACTGAAATAAATATTCATGGGATGCATGTGCAGAATGTGCAGGTTTGCTACGTAGGTATACGTGTGCCATGGTGGTTTGCTGCACCTATTGACCCATCCTCTAAGTTCCCTCCTCTCACCCCCCCAACACCCAACAGGTCCTGTTGTGTGTTGTTCCTCTCTGTGTCCATGCGTTCTCAGTGTTCAACTCCCCCTTATGAGTGAGAAGATGCAGTGGTTGGTTTTCTGCTCCTGTGTTAGTTTGCTGAGGATGATGGTTTCCAGCTTCATCCATGTCCCTGCAAAGGACACGATCTCATTCCTTTTTATGGCTGCTAACACTTAAATATTTTTGTCAAGGAAATACCCATTATAGTTACCTATTGTGCCATTTAGGAAGTGATAATTCTGTTGCAGTCAGTGAGATCATATAGGTCTCACTGTTCATAATTAAGGTTCATAATTAAGGATTTAAGCCCAGAGCTAAATAAACCAAGACCAGTTCTCCATGAATAGATTACTTATTTAACCAGCGGTTTTGGTGTGCCTGCTGTTTTACCTATATTGAAAGCTTAATGCATTTTGGTGTGGAAGAGGGTCTGATATAAGACACAGTAGTCTTATATTTCTACTAGTCTTTTACCAAAATTATTTCCCCCATAATTCAGCCAGGTTATTTCAGCTCAAACAATGGGCCTATGGAGCCAAGTAGCACATAAGTAAAGGAACTTAAAAAAAATTCCGTCAGTGTCAAAAGGCAGGAAATTCTCTTTTATATTAATTACTTATGTTTTAATATGGAAAGCTTACACAAAGTGAGCTAAACTATTAGTAGCCATTCACTCATGGGCTGCTTATTGCTATTAACTTTTCTCAATAAAAATTATTAGAGAAGGCCGGGTGTTGTGGCTAACGCCTGTCGTCCCAGCACTTTGGGAGGCCGAGACGGGCGGATCACGAGGTCAGGAGATGGAGACCATCCTGGCTAACATGGTGAAACCCCGTCTCTACTAAAAATACAAAAAAATTAGCCGGGCGTGGTGGCGGGCGCCTGTAGTCCCAGCTACTCTGGAGGCTGAGGCAGGAGAATGGCGTGAACCCGGGAGGCGGAGCTTGCAGTGAGTCGAGATCATGCCACTGCACTCCAGCCTGGGTGACAGAACAAGATTCCATCTCAACAACAACAACAAAATAAAATAAAATTATTAGCTAAGTTTCACTTTTCATTTTCAGACTAGCCATGTACAAAAATAATAATTTTTTATTTTACTAATTTGTTTATCCTCAAAATAACTGGGCTTATACACACGGTCAGTTGAAAAATGTGATAAAGCATTTTTAAGGCCTCATAAATGTCCAGCATTTAGTGGGACCGATGCTTAGTGCATCTTCTCAAACATCAGTATGTACCGCTCTAGGGAAACGTGAGGATCTGAGACTACTAACTACTTTAGTAAAACTGGGAAAAAAATCAACTCATTATTTCATATGCATGATTAATTTATTTGCTTTACCCATAAGATCTCTGGATAGCAAGATTGAAAGAGAAAATCAAAAGCTGTGTGTGTGTGTGTGTGTGTGTGTGTGTGTGTGTGTGTATACATTTGATCTTCTGCCATCTCATGGGATTTGTCTTAGTTCTCATGTCAGAGCTCTTTATCTAGGGAATTGGGTAGGGTAGAAATAGATGATAGTTAAAGACTTCTTGAGCTAAAAAAAAAAAAAAAAAAAAAAAAACTCTAATGGGCTGAAAGTAGAATTTTCAAACAACTAGAAATTATCCTTACCTAGTCTGTGGTGGTATGAAGAAATCTTTAGCTGAGAGAAGAAAAAGCAGATCAATCCAAGAACGTTGAGATTCCTCAGGGTATTGGTCTTGGGATGTTCTCTGTGCATGGTGGAGACAAAGCCCTCATCAGCAAATAATGCTGCATATTGAAGCATGCTGTGGTACAGACTGTACACTACACTTTTCAAACTAAAAAACAGATTAAAAGGTTACTGTGGGAAAGTTTGTGGGTAGTAGAGTATGATTGGCTTCTTTGGTAATCATTAGTGCTATATGCCAAATGCAGTTGGTTTTCTTCCTGAGTACAGGGTAGGATTTTATTTTGCTCCCTTTCTTGTGCCCGCATGACTTGGTTTGGGCAACGTATAATATGAAAGGAAGTGCATGTCACTTTCTCATGGAAGCTTTCAGATTTGGTGAGAGACTCAATATGCTTTTTGTTTCCCTCTGCTGTGGTGCCTGGAAACATTCCAGCAGCCTGGGTCCTACAGTGTTCACCATGCAGATCAAAGCCCTCCAATTGGCCTGAAATGAACATGTAGAATGAGGAAAAAAAAAAGAGTTTCTGGGGTTTGTTGCTACCACAGCATAATCTGACTAATAAAAATCCTTGGGTAGTGCCCTCAACAGCATTTGAAGACGAGCTCTTTTTAAAAATTGATACATAATTTTATACATACTTATGGGGGATATATGATATTCTGTTATGTGCATAGAATATGTGATTGTCAGGTAAGGGTATTTGGGATATCCATCACCTCAAGTATTTATTATTTCTTTGTGTCGGAAACATTTTAATTCCTCACTTCTAGCTATTTTGAAATACACAATACATTGTTGTTAACTATAGTCGCCATACTCTGTTATCAAATATTAGAACTTATTCATTCTAACTGTATGTTTATACCCATTAACCAACCTCTCTTCACCCCCCCTACCCCCACCCGCATACACTTCTCAGAATTTGGTATCTATTATTTTACTTTCTGTCTTCATGAGATGAACTTCGTTATCTTTTGAGTGAGAACATGTGATATTTGTCTTTCTGTGTCTGGCTTATTTTCACTTAACATAATGACCTCCACTTCCATCCATGTTGCTACAAATTACATGATTTTATCCTTGTTTATGGCCAAATAGTAGTCCTTTGTATAAATTAATAGACCACATTTTTAAGTCCAATTGTCCATTAATGGACACTAGGTTGATTCCATAGCTTAGCTATTGTGAATAATGTTGCAATAAACATGTGAGTGCAGGTATCTTTTTGATATACTAATTTATTTTCCTTTGGATTAATACCAGTAGTGGAGTTGCTGGATCATGTGGTAGTTCTATTTTTATTTTTTTTGAGAAATCGCCATACTGTTTTCCATACCGGCTGTATTAATTTACAAACCCACTGATACCTTATGAGTTCTCTAAATCCTTGCCAGTATTTGCTAAATTTTTTGATTTTCAAAAATAGCCATTCTAACTGGACTATTACTAAAATATTTCATTATGGTTTCAATTTGTATTTCTCTGATTAGTGATTTTGAGCATTATTTTTCCCATACCTGTTGGCCATTTGTATGTCTTTTGAGATGTGACTATACAGATCATTTGTTCATTTTTAAATGGGATTATTTGTTTTTTTGCTGTTTGATTTCCTCGTATATTCTGGATATTAGTCCCCTGTCAAGTGAATAGTTTGCAAATATTTTCTCTCATTGAGCAGGTTGTCTCCTCATTCTGTTGATTGTTTCCTTTGCTGAGCAGCAGCTTTTCAGTTTAATATGTCCAATTTGTCTATTTTTGTTTTTCTTCCCTGTGCTTTTGAGGTCTAATCTGTGAAATCTTTGCCTAGACCAATGTCCTGAAGTGTTTCCTCCATATTTTCTTCTAGTAGTTTTACAGTTTTACAGGTCTTACATTTAAGTCTTTAATTCATGCTGAGTTGATTTTGTATATGGTGAGAGATGGGGTCCAGTTTCGTTCTTTTCCATGTGGGTATCCAGTTTTCCCAGCACCATGTAAGAGAGTGTCCTTTCCCCGGTGTATGTTCTTGGAAACTTTATGAAGATCATCTCTTGTTGTGTATTTGGTAGCAGAAGAATTCAAGGAAATGATGGCTTACCTATAGATTAAGAGTATGGTTCTTCTTTTAGAATTTTTTGTGACATATGGAACCCTGCAGAGAGAGGGAGCCCTAATGGTACCCGAAGTTGAAATTCTTACATTGGGAAAGGCTTTGATGTAATTTCAGTATAAAATATATTTTAGGTTTGTGCACTAAGAATACCACCTGTTACATATACTTTGTGTCTGGAAATCTCTGCAGCCCAGTGTACTAGACATGCTCCATCAACTGACTTGTTCACTTTAACTTTTTTTTAATTTATTTTAATTTTTCTTTATTTTTTGAGACATAGTCTCACTCTGTCGCCCAGGCTGGAGTGCCGTGGCATGATCTTGGCTCACTGCAACCTCCGCCTCCCAGCTTCAAGCAATTCTCTCCCTCACCCTCCTGAGTAGATGGGATCACAGGTGTGCGCCACCACACCCGGCTAATTTTTGTATTTTTAGTAGAGATGGGGTTTCACCATCTTGGCCAAGCTGATCTTGAACTCTTGACCTCATGATCCACCCACCTCAGCCTCCCAAAGTGCTGAGATTACAGGTATGAGCCACTACTTTGGCTTCTAAGATGAAAACTTCAGCTCATACTCCATGCCCTCCTCCTCAGAAGAGCTATTGTATTGATTGTATAAGTAAATATAACACTAGAAATAAGATCACTAAATTATTGAATGTGTAAAATGTGCCAAACAATATGTTAAGCAGTTTACATGGATTTTCACGTATGTTCCTTTCAATAAATATGTGAGGGAGATACTAACCTCATTTACCATTTCAGAAACTTGGAAATTGTAAATGTTTAAAACTAGCCCCAAGCCACACAGTTTGTAGGTGGCAGAGCCAGAATGACAGCCCAGGTCTTCTTGATGCCAGTGCCATTGCTCTGTATAGCCCTCATTAATCACCTCTCACCTGGGTTACTGGAACAATTTTCTAACTTCTGTTTCTGCTTCTCTGATTTTCTTCTTTATCCCTCCAATTCTAGATAGAATGATTAATAAATACTACAAATACGACCTTGTAAGTTCTTTTACTAAAATTGTACTGGCTTCCAACTGCTTTTTACATAAAATATAAACTCCTCATTGTGCCACATAAGGCCCTCAAGGACAAGGGCCCCGTCTCCTTCTCCACATAAATTTTCCACCACTTCTATCTTTCTATTTTATGTTCTTCTAATAGGAGAGCACCTTTGCTCTATTAATGCTACTGATTGTCACCTTGCTTTATACAGTGTCTTCCACATGCACTGCTGGGGAAGATCTTTCAAGGGAAGACCTATATACCTTTACACCTAAATCCAACAAAAATTTAACAAGACAACATAGGTGTAACTGTTCCATGGAAACTTCTGCAATATTCCCATCTGGATTATAAGTTTCTGTTCTCCCATGGAACTTTATGCAGGGCCCTATCATTGTATACATAATTTTATGATTTAAGTATATGAGCCCTGAAATCAGAGAAACTCATGAGTTTAAATATCAGCTCTGACACTCTTTAGTTAAATATACTTTCAACAGTTATTTAACCTCTCAAAACCTCGGTTTCATAGTTGGTAAAAATAATGTAAGCATAGAGCTTCCTGTACAAATTTTTATTTTGTTATGTTTGTATTAAATAATGAGTTTAATATAATGCCTTAGTATAGTCAGAGTTCAA